>NC_000012.12:30138552-30291247 GCF_000001405.40 Homo sapiens
AAAAAAAAAAAAAAAAACATGCAGCTCAGGCATGCAGGGCCTGCAGAAAGCTGAGAGCAGAACAGAAACACTGAAAAGAGCCCTGCAGTCATACAGGCCTCACTCTAAGCACAAAGAAGCAGCAGCAGCCACCGCTGAGGAATTTGAAGACTGGTGCACTGAGAGTAACTACAGCAGCATCAACAACAAACCCAGCTCAACCACTGATAACAACTGAGGGCCTGCCAGAAGAAGCAGTGTGCTCTTTTCAGCTGTCATTAACCCAGAAATGACTGAGATGTTGAAACTATCAGTCAGCAACTTTAAAAGAACTATAACTTATGTGTTAAATGGTTTAGTGTAAAAGGTGGACAACATGTATTAATAAATGGGAAATTTCATCAGAGATGAAATCGCTAAAAAAGATTCAAATAGAAAATCCAGTGTATACATAATGGAGAATTCTTTCCAGGCTTATCAGCAGACTGGACACAATAGAGAAAAGAATCAGTGAACTTGAAGATAGGCTGATAGAAATTATCCAAACTCAACCACAAAGAAAAATAGTAAGGAAAAAAGAACAGATTATCCCAAAGATGTGGGGCCATCAAATGGTCTTGCATACATATACTTGGAGTACCAGACAAAATATAGAAAGGGGAGGACAGGACAGAAAGAGTATCTGAAGAGGTAAGCTTCAAAATTAATGAAAGAAAACAAACCATAGATCCAAGAAGTTCAGAGAATCTAAGCAGTATAAATACCAAGCCAAGCACATCACAGTCAAACTGCTAAAACCATACATAAAGGGAAAATCTTGAAGGTAACCAGAGAAAAAAAGAAACATTTCCAGCAGAGGCACAAAGATAGGAATTAGCACAATTTTTTTTATCAGAAATCATGTAAGCAATAGACAATGGAATAACATCATGAAAGAATTGAAGGGAAAAAATCTGTCAAGCCAGAATTCTGTTTCTAGTGAAAATACCTTTCTAAAATGAGGGTGAAATGAATTTTTTTTTTCAGACAAACAAAATCTGAGAGTAATTATTTGCCAGTAGTCCAGCATGACAAGCAATGCTAAAGGAGGTTCTTTAGGCAGAATGAATGTGGTATAAGATAGAAATTTCTATTTACACAAAGAAAGAAAGGGTACAGGAAAATAAAAAATGTGGGTAAATATAAAAGACATTTTTCCTAATTTTAATATCTTTAAAAGATGATTGTCTGAAGTCAAAATAGGCACAGTATCTTTTGTAAAATATATGGGAACAGTAGGACAAAGGACAAGACAGAGGAAATGGAAATAAATGATAGTAAGATGCTTACACAATACGGGGAAGGCCATATTATTGAATCTGGACTGTGGTAAGATAAAGATATGTAATGCAATAGTTAAAAAGGAGACTAACTAACAAACTGATATAGTTTGGATATTTGTCCCCTCCAAAGCACATGTCAAAATGTGATCCCCAGTGTTGGAGCTGGGGCCTGGTGGGAGATGTCTGGGTCATGGAGCGAATCCCTCTTGAAAGGCTTGGTGCCATCCCCATAGTAATGAGTGAGTTATTGCTCTATTAGTTCATGCAAGAGCTGGTTGTTTAAAAGATCCTGGCATCCCTCTTGCTTCCTCTCTCATCATGGGACATATCTGCTCCCCTTTCACCTTATTCCATGAGTAAAAGCTTCCTGAGGCCTCACCAGAAGCCAAGCAGATGCTGGTGCCATGCTTGTACAGCTTGCAGAACTGTAAACCCAATAAATCTCTTTTCTTTGTAAATTATCCAGCCTCCAGTATTTCTTCAAAGCAACACAAAGCAGACAAATACATAAGCCAATAGGAGAGGTGAAATAGAATCATAAAGAATTCAAAAGAAGACAATAAAAGGGAAACAAATGAACAGAGAACAAATAGGGCAAATAGAAGACAACTAGTAGGATGGTAAAATTAAATATAAACATATCAACAAAGAAATTAATAGTATAAGCACCTCAATTAAAAGGCAAAGATTGTCAGATTGGATGAGAAAAAGCAAGACCCAATTACGTGCCGTCTAAAGAAAACCCACTTTAATATAAAGACATAGATAAATTAAAAGAATGGAAAATATATACCATGCAAATACCAATCAAAAGAAAGCTGGAGTGGCAATATTAATAGCAGAATATTCCTTAATGTTCTGAATAAGGAACACTACTGTTGATAAAGAGAGGCATTTCATGACACAGGAGTTAATTCATCCAGAAGAAACGATAATTCTAAATGTATACACATCTTATTACAGAGTTCAAATACACAAACAATAGGTGATACAACAATAGTTTTGTTGATTGGTTTGGTTTGTGCCACTACTCAAATGCTGTGACAAAGTGACTGCACCCTTGGTACCCATCACCACCACCACCTTTCTGCTTCCCCAAGTTAAGTGATAATGGTCTTGACGTAGCCATCAGAAGCTCTACAACTAAAGACAAATATTTTTACCTCCCAAGAAAAGAAAAATTTTCATACAAACATGTGTCCCTGGATGTCTTTAAACAAGGAAATTTTGAATCAAACTGAATGAGAGGAAATGCCAAGAAACACAGATAGAACTGTGGGGGGAAGAGATAAAACTTCCAAAATTAGAAATTTGATCTACCTTTATGACATTGAGTTCTAAGAACATTTACTTATTAAGTAGGCTTAAATTTGTATCAAGATACTTTAAAATGAAGGGATTAATATGTTAAGCAAACATGAATCCACAGACATCACTTATCTGGTGGCTATCTTGTCTGTGGAGACTTATTGTTTAACTTCACGCCTATGCATTCCATTATTTCATTCTCACAGGCAGGAGCTGAATGAAGTCAGAAACTTCTCATAGGAATTCAGTCAACAAGGAAAAGTGCTTAAAATAAGGGAAGGAGAAATAATGGTTAACAACAATTTCCTTCAGAAGAAAGTGTCATTATTTATTAATAATATATTATTTAGTCACAGATTTTTTTGTTACAAATTGCACCATCCTAGCTCATTGAACTTTTCTTGTAACTAATATGATGCCATTAATAATAGTCTGAAATATTGTTGGTTTCAGGTTAAACACTTGTATTAATTCATTCTCACAGGCTATAAAAAAAAAACACTGAGACTGGGTAATTTATAAAGAAAAGAGATTGAACTGGCTCACAAATCTGCAGGCTGTCCAGGGCGGCTTCTGCTTCTGGGGAGGCTTCAGGAAGCTTCCAATCATGGCAGAAGGGGAAAGGAAAGCAGGCATGTCTTACATGGCCAGAGTAGGAGCAAGAGAGAGAGTGGGGAGGTGCTGTGCACTTGTAAACAACCAGATCTCGTGAGAACTCTATCATGAGAACAGCAACAGAAAGGGAAATCTACCCCATGATCTAATCACCTCCCACTAGGCCTCACCTCCAACACTGGGGATTACAATTCGACATGAGATTTGAGCAGGGAAACAGATCCAAACCATATCAACACTCTCATATGGAATAAAACCTTAACATTCCACTTTAGGAGGTTAAGCCATATGAGGATCGTTTATACAGTGTTTTCTTCTTTGAAGAGGAAGAATAAAGCATAAGGTATATGAAAATGAAATACTAAATTGCCACTTGTGTGTAGTTACTCATTCCAACAGTGTTATCCAAAATATTTGTATGCCTCCTCATCTCCCTTAATTTTATATACCTTACAATTTCACTTTAGTGCCAAACATGAGATTGTTCTCTAAACCCAGCCCTGTCTCAGTAACTTGATTTGCATGGTTTTGTATAAGGTAATTAAAATAAATAAAGACTTCTGAGATTCACTGAGTGAAAATCTAACCAATGTTTCACACACAAAAGGCCAAGAATAAGCCCATTTTAAGTAAAAACGTCATGATCATCAATCAGCTAACTTCCAAGAGAGCAGTATTTTGTTGCATTGCTCTATCTACCCAGCTGCTAGAGTGAAGCCTGACACAAAACAGACACTCCACAAATATTGTTAAATGAGAGAATGTGAGAGGCCCTGCAACACAGAAAAATAAATATCCATGAACTCACTGAACCAGGAACCATCTGAATGCATCCTGTGATGACGGTCATAGAAGTATGAAACACACATATAAAAATCAAGAAGAAAGAAAATAAAGATAGGGCTTCATATAGAAATCCCTGAGCCTAGAATGTTAAAGGAAAACATTGTGTGGATTAATTTGGCATATCAGTAGGATGGGCAAAGATTATTTAAATACAAGACATTTCTCAGGGAAAAAGTAATAATAATAAATTAAACTTCTTTCAGAGCTCTGTACACCCATAGTCCAGGGTTTCTAGTATAGTCAATTCTACTTTTAAGTCAATCACTACAAAGAAAATAAAATTAGTAAACTAAATAAATGAAATAAGTAGAAAAGAATTTTCCTCATGTTTATCGATATCTGTAACCCATATTTTATTTACCTAATAATGTATTTAGTCAGATTTGTGTCCACTTCAGAGTAATGAGCTCAATATAATTTCACCCTTAGCGTTTTGCTCAGAAACAGGTCTCACAAATCAACTTAACAGCAACAAAAATAGCAGAAAAAAACCCTTGCATCACTTCATCACGTCATTCCCAAACTGTGTATCTCAGAATCTTGGATCCACCATTTCTCACAATGCATTCATGCTTTGCTATAGACTGAATTGAGATCCCCCAGATTCGTATGTTGAAGACCTAACTTTTCCAATGTGATGGTGTTTGTAGATGGGGCTTTTGGAAGGGAATTAGGTTTAGATGAGGTCATGAAGGTGGAGCCCTCACGATGCGATTAGTGCTCCTAAAAAAAAAGAGACAGCAGAAGCTTGCCTTTGTCTCTCTCTCTCTCCCTCTCTCTTTCTCTCTCTCATGAGAGCACATGGAGAAGGAAGCCATCTGTAAGCCAGGAAAGAGCCCTCATAGAGGAACCAAATGGACCAACACCTTGCTCTTAGACTTCCAGATGCCAGAATTGTGAGAAACAAGTTCCTGCTGCTTTAGGCTCCCGGTTTATGATATTTTGCTATGGCAGCCCAAGCTGACTAAGCCATGCTTTCAGGAACATAATAGGAATAATAGCAAAGCAGAGATAACCATGCTACAGTCCCGCTGTTGAATAGTTAGCACTGTATTAAGGGTTTGAATAAGCACTGTCACATTTAGTCTTTGCAACCTCTCCCGGAAAAAGTATCATTGTCATTCTCGTCTTACACATGAAGAAATTGAGGCTCCAAGAAGTTTAAAAAAATGCCCAAGAAATATTAGAGTCATGATTTAAACCAGGGCCTGCTGACTGTAGAGTCAGAGATCTTAATTCCTAAACTATATCACTCTTCAGACTTTTTACTAAGCTCAATTAATCCACCTCCTGATACCAAAAAAAATAAAGATTTCAAAATTTTCATGAATACTTTGACATTTACATGCAAAATTATGAATGATTCTTTTCAAAAGAAGGAAGGTGCCCTCCTTACCCACAAACGTGACAACCTTGAGAACTTCTGTCCCAGTTTCAACAGTGCTACCTGTTGTAATCTAATTATCCCACTCTCTGAAATTGCTAATGTTTGGGGAAAAAACATGAAAATGACCTCCGAAGTCCACCACCTGACTCCTCACCTAAAGTAAGTCCTAGCCAGGACTCTGAATTCCAACCTGCCTAATGTATGGCCTAATGATTAAAGTACATGTTCCAGACACACACACACAAAAATGCTACCACTTACTCGCTTCGGAACCTCAGTTAGTGGTTGAACCCCTTGGATCCTCAGTTACCTAGTATGTAAAATAAGATCTATGCTATCTGTCCCAAAGGGTCGTTGTGCTGGTTACATAAGACAAGATACTTAAGTGCCTCCAAAACCCCCGGCACTTAAGAAGCTGTACCACATGTTTGTTCAAGAAATATTAATCATATTGGCCACATATCCCTGTTGCATGTTCTTATCCTGCATGCTTTTTTATGGCAGTCATCATAATTGTAATCAAGTATTCATGCACCCGTTTATGTGATTCTGTCTCTCCACTAGATTATTAGCTCTTCAACAACAGGAACCACACCTGTTCGATTCTCAGCTATATCCTTAATACTGGAAGAGTGTGTCATACACAAAATAAATATATGCCAAATGGATGGCTGAGGGAAGAATGAGTGAATGAGTGTTCCCACTTATGCAGAGATGCTCAATGTGAGGGCTGAAAGTTTCTTAAAGAGTGCAGAATTGGAAAATGAGCTTTGAGCCTTTTAAGCTACATATCAGCAAAATAATTCCTTCCACAGACTTGGAAGCTTGTTAGGATGAAGCTTTGAAAAAAGAAGCCTAGCTCTATAGAGATGGGATGAAAAAGAGAAAAAGTGTAAGCAACATTGGCTGGAGAGTCACAAGACCATGAGAAACAGTAATTCATTGATGAAATTAAAATAGCTGCACCAGGCAAGAGAGCATTCGTAGTCAGTTGTCACATCCATTGTTGTCAGTGAGCAAAGCAGAAGGGAGTTAGGAGGCAGCTTTGTTTGGTTACATTAAAAGACTTTATTTTTTAGAGCAGTTTTAGGTTCACAGCAAAATTGAAAGGAAGATACAGAAAGTTCTCATATACCCCCTTCCCCCTCAATACAGAGCCTAGAGGCAACTTCTGAGTTCCTGTGAGAAGGTGCCTTTGAGAAGAGGAAAGCTTGCTCTCTGATAAGTAAAACTGGCCTACCAATTTCTATATTGTGTTACAATTGTTTCATTGGTTAAGAGGGAAGAAATGAAAGAAAATCTAATATGTGCCCAAGGGAGGTGCTTGAGCTCATGGCATTTGGGTACTGGGGCATTTGGCATAAGATCCATGATTGAGATGAACTTGGGTTATAGTGATAACTGCACTCTGCCTTTTACATGTGACTCCTTTGTGAGGGATTTACAAAGAGCCAACAGAGCAGCAGGCTCTATTAAATGATCTCCAATTATCAGCTTCACAGGAAGGAAGGTGATTAAAATTTAATGACATATCCCAGCTTGTTGCCATTCAATAGAGCTGCTGTCATCTTCCTGTCAAGGAGAATAAAGAAGTGGGAAATGTTTGAAAGAAAAAAAGAGGAATATTTAAAGGTAAAATTCTTTATCTGACAAGGTAGAAGAATAAATTAGCCATGTAAAGAAAATTATCAAAAGTGCATTTGCCTTATAATTACTAACTTAGAGTCTGCATGTCAAATGGTTACTATTTATGGATTTAATAGGGAAAAGAATTCTCAGTATGTGCTTTGACTTCTAATATGCTTAGTCATGACATTCTTATTAATACTCCTCACATTAAAATCCCTATGCTTTGTACATTTCTTAGTTAAATGGGCTACTAAACTTGTGATTTAGTTTGAATATAGTGTATGACAATAAAGTAACAATTTGCCTATGGGGTTCAAACTGACATTCTGTGGAATTGCAATAGGCAAGTTCCAAAACCGTTTGGGGCAGCTTCTTTTCCAGCAGCATCACTGGAAGAAGTAAACACACTCCAAGGTAAGCAGCACCCGCGATGTAGATCACTCATTTGGGTACATTTGTTGCAACTGAAGTACCCGACCAGGGGGTTCCACCCTAGGAAGGCAAAGGGGGCTCTAAGAAAGCCCTAAAGAGAACTCATGTCAGACTCTGGAAAGGGCAAGGATATGGGCACAAGGCATAAATAGTTAGAAGCAAAAAATGTGTGTGTAGCAACTTTTCACTGGTCAATCTTAAGCTATAAATTACATCAATGTGACTGCGACATGTGACAAACACAATAGCTTTATCTCTGTGACTAATTATCTGAAACCAATTTTGCAGTGAAGCAAATCATGCAGGCTACAGGATGAATCTTTGAAAGCCTTGATTACACCTAGTCTTCATACCAAGTTATCACAGAAACAGATCTCAGGGCAGCACCTACCTATTGAGAGCCAACACCAGCCAATCTGGATAATCCTGGGGCGAGCATCCTCACCGGCCCCATGTGGTCCTAGATCACTGCTCCAGTCAATGGGGTGCCTCTGTTTTTTCTCTTTCCCATCCCCAATTTCTCTCTTCCTCTCTTTTTGTATCTCATACCAGTCAATTGTTAGAAACACCTGCAGGCATGGCCTAAGTTCGCTAACCACACTTAGGAGCTTGCAGTTTAGGAAGAGCAGTTGTGCCCTCGAAAGTTCAGAAAGATGACCACAGAGCTATGGGGTACACGCCCTGCGAATAAGTCACTGTGGTGGTCACTGGTGCGCACCCAGAACTTCTTTCAATAGGACCTGCTGTCCCAGCTGTTGGGAGTACTGATGGCTTCTTTTGAGATTGCTTCAGTGGAGCCAGGCTCAGTGGCACATGGCTGTAGTCCTAGCTACTAGGGAGGCTGAGGTGGGAGGATTGTATGAGGCCAGGAATTTGAGGTTACAGTGAGCTACGTTTTTGCCACTGCACTCCAGCCTGGACAACAGAGCGAGGCCCTGTCTCTGAAGAAAAAAGAGATTGATTCAATGGCAGAGCACTGCCTCATCCAAAGTCACATCCCAAGGTTATGTCTCTTTCCAGAGCGGCTAACAATCAATGACTGAGTAATGAGGGCAGGTAGAGGTGTTGTTGATCTCAAGAGCACTCTACCATAAGCATCATGCAGGTGAAACATGCAGATTCTGCTCTCAGGGACCCAATTTACAACACCTGGTACCATAAATGATCCCAGGAAAAACTGTCCTAAGATGGGGTTTTGGAGCTGGATCATGGATCCATGCCCAGCTAGCAAAAAGGACTTCTCTCTGGTGCTAGGTAATGCACAGATAGCCCCTGACATAGGGCAGCAATTCAATTCTTAAAACTTTCAGCAGTGGTCAATTGGGATGGTATACTAGTAGAAGGAAGTATATTAGCTAGTGTCCGAGATATATAGGACAAAGAGTGGCTACAAGGATAATAGAATTAGTTGGCCATTGCTATGCTAGATATTACAGAGGAGGCAGCAGTGGGAGTGTGTGTGGGGTGGTTGAGTAGCTGAGTGATTAATTACTGATTAAAAGTTATGCGTGAAGCCAAAGAGCTTCCTTGACAGATTACAAAGAGGTTTCACCCTTGCAGATAAGGCAGAGAAAGCTGAGAACCAGACCCAGGATGTAATTGCCAGAGCAGCTGAGTCCTAAATAAAGTTAAACTCCTATCCAAGCAAGAGCTACTATGCCAAGGTCAGATCCTTGCTTGGAAAAGGATGGGACTATGACACACTGGATGAAACATCTCAGTTGATGCCCACCAAAAATTTTAGATCCCCAGACCAGAGTCCCCAGAGCTCTCTGAAAGCTACAGAAGCAGCCCATTCTTACCTATCCAGAGCTAACACTTCTCCTATCCTTGCTTGAAGATGATACAAAGAGCTCTCCCCTCTAGCAGATAATATATATCCCCTCAAAAAAGAGACTCTACCAGAGCTGCTGCAAGTTCCAGCCAGCTTGGACAAACAGCGGTATACATGAAATTGCATTCTGAGGGGGCTTGGTCAAGAAGGCCAGAACATAAGGTTGGATTTTTAAAAGATTAATTTGAGAGTATTCTCCTGGGAAATAATACCTAATCCGTTGGCAAAGACCCCAGTAGATGGTGTGAACTTGCTACTAGCAAGGCTTCAAAAGGCATGGAAGAAGGCAAGACCCATGCTAAATGAGGTGAAAAAGTCAGAATTGGATGACAGATGGTGGAAAGTGGCTTAAAGGCTGAAAGAAGAGGCACACTGAAGTGGTTATACAAGGTAAGGCCTGAAAACCCACCAGATGATTATGTTTCTTAGGAAGGCCTGGAGGGTGTACAATTTGCTAGGGCCATAGGAGCAAACTAGTGAGAGGGTAGGTCAGGGCTGATGGGAGGAGAGACCATTACACTGCTAGGCTCATGGACTGCAATGCAGAAGATAGCATCTTGAAGCAGTAGAGGCTACTGAGCAACACTTAGGTGTCAAAATCCAGGTGAGAGTAATTATAATAATGAGTAGTAAGGCTGAAATCAGGGGGACTTGAGGAGAGTTATTGTGATGGTTAACAGAAGACAGTCTCCTAGAGGCCAAATAGGCAACAAGAATATGATTCAGTTTGCAGCATCAAAATAAATCAAGCATGGATTATGAGGAGTTTGAGGGTGATGTCTCGTATAAAATGTCAGAATCTTTTGCAGAATTTCCAGACCTGAGCAAGTTTTTGTACAGAGAATCCATTGACTGAGGAAGAAGGTAGGTCTGCAGAAGGAAGGAGCTCTCCAATACCCTCTAACACCACAGTCAAGTGTACACAGAATTTATTGCCCTGATCCTTCCCTAAGGGGACCTATGGCCATTTATGCTAGGGAAAGATACAAATATTTTTAGGACCACTGGAAACGGTCTGAGTTGACATAGGTACCTGGAGTCCTGAAGAATCATCATGGCCTGTCTCTTAGAATGGGGGTAATGAGAGTCAGGTAATACGTGGAATCCTACCATGCTTTTGTTCATAGTGATTCCACTGGATCCACAGGCCCACCTCGTGATCATTTCTCAAATCCCTGAATATATAGTCAGAATAAACATACTTGATAGGTAGGTACAACACCCATGTTAAATCCTTAGTCAATGAAGTGAACACTATCATAATGGGGACTAAGAAATGAAAGCTACCTCTCTCCACAGATGGAAGCTTTGCTATAGCCTCACTTATGGGGTACCCTTGAAAAACAGTGGCCAGAGAAAATCCTCCCAATGAGGAGCAGCACTTTGCATAGTGCACCTGGTTATCCACTTTGTATTGAAGAAAAGTGCCCAAGGTTGGAATATATATGAAATTATGGGGAGTGAAAATGGCTTGGGTGACTGGTCAGGATTCTGGAAGGAAAACAAAATTGGAAAATCAAGGACGAGATGTCTTGGGTAGGGACATGTGAAAGGACATATGGAAGTGGGTATGAAGTGTGACCTAAATTTGCATGTTAGTGCCCACCTAAGAGCACTAAAAAACCAATCAGTAGGCTGGGTGCGGTGGCTCATGCCTGTAATCCCAGCACTTTAGGAGGCCAAGGCAGGCGGATCACAAGGTCAGAAGATCGAGACCATCCTGGATAACACGGTGAAACCCCGTCTCTACTAAAAATACAAAAAATTAGCCGGGTGTGGTGGCAGGTGCCTGTAGTCCCAGCTACTCGGGAGGCTGAGGCGGGAGAATGGCATGAACCCGGGAGGCGGAGCTTGCAGTGAGCCGAGATTGTGCCACTGCACTCCATCCTGGGCGACAGAGGGAGACGCCATCTCAAAAAAAAAAAAAAATCAGTTGTTATCAGTGAGCCTCTATAATCAGCTGTCCCAGTGCTGATGTGGTGAGCATAGGAGAGAGCCTAGGCAGCAGGGATGGAGGCTGAGTTAATAGCATGGGTCCAACAGCCCACCAAAGGGCAATCTAGCTCCTGCCACTGCAAAAGATCCACCTGCCTGGACAGAGACCAACAATGAGTCTTTAATACAGCACATGACTTCAAGGAAACTAAGCTGACAAATAATTTGTAGTGCCAAGCTGACTATAACAGATTCCTTCTACTCTGAAAAGGCAAGAAATTCATTCTGAGTGAAATAGACGAGTATTTTATGCTTTCCTGCCCATAGGACATATGGGCTGTCTGATTTACTGTCACAGGATCCCACATAGCATTGCATCAGACTAGGGCACACACTTTGAATAAAGGAGGTATGAAAGTGGACCCATGACAATGGGATTCACTGATCATATCACAAAACACAGCAACCAGAAGCTTCCAACCGAACATAGCATCGGAATGGCTTTTTTTTTTTTTTTCAGAGTCTCGTTCTGTCACTCAGGCTGTCAGGCTGGAGTGCAGCGGCGCGATCTCGGCTCACTGCAACACCCCCCCGACCCTGGGCTCAAGCAATTCTCTGCCTCAGCCTCCCAAGTACCTGGGATTATAGGTGCCCACCACCACACCTGGGTAATTTTTTGTATTTTTAGTAGAAAGGGGGTTTCACCATCTTGATCAGGCTGGTCTTGAATTCCTTACCTTGTGATCCACCTGCCTCAGCCTCCCTAAGTGTTAGGATTACGGGGGTGAGCCACCACGCCCAGCCAGAATAGCCTTTTAAAGGCATAGTTGAAGCAATACTTGGGGATGCAATATTTTACAGTCTGGGGCACCACCTTTCAAGACGCAGTACACACGGTAAATTGAAGTATTTTATATGGTGCCATATCTCCAAAAGAAAGAATACATGAGTCCAGGCATCAGGGGATAAGAAATGGAGCAACACCACTTCCTATCACTCCCAGGGACCAGCTTGAGAAATTTGTGCTTTTCTCTTCATAAATCTGGGCTCTGAAGGTTTAGAGGTTCTCATTCCTAAATAGAGATCACTTTTGCCAAAGGATACACAGAGAATCCTGTTGAATTATAAACCATTACTGCTGACTACTCACTTCGGATTTCTTATGCCAAGGGACCAGCAGGCAAGAAGAGTCACGATTCTAGCAGAAGAAATATTTCCTGATCAACGAGAGGAGGTAGGGTTGCTGTTACACAATAGACGTAGAGAGGAATAAGTCTGGTGTCCGATCAATCCACAGGGTACCTTTTGGAACATTTTTGGCTAATTTTTACTGTAATTGGACAAGTGAAGCAACCTGGGCCTTATAAGGGCATAGTGATCAGGGCTCAGATTCCTCAGTGAATAAGATCTGGATCCCAACACTAGGTAAGCCAGTAGGACCAGCAAAGATGCTAGCTGAATGTAAGAAAAATCTAGAACGGGTACTTGGAAAGGGATATGAATAGCAATTGTGGCCCTAGGACCAGTTTCAGCAGTGGAGCTATCACTTCATTGTGCTAACCTTCTTCTTCCAAGTTTCCCCAGGAAGAAGTCCTCTGGAGTCCTGATAGAGCTGGTCCCAAAATAAATAGGAAAAACTGAATTCAGGTTGGGCGCAAGTGGCTTACGGCTGTAATCCCAGCACTTTGAGAGGCCGAGGAGGGTGGATCATGAGGTCAGGAGTTCAAGACCAGCCTGATCAACATGGTGAAACCCTGTCTCTACTAAAAATAAAAAAAAATTCGCCGGGCATGATGCCATGCAGCTGTAATCCGTGCTACTCGGGAGACTGAGGCAGGAGAATCACTTGAAGCCGGGAGGAAGAGGTTGCAGTGAGCCAAGATCGTGCCACTGTACTCCAGCCTGGGCGACAAAGCAAGACTCTGTCTCGGGAAAACAAAAAAAACAAAAAAACTGAATTCAAGCAGCAGGAGGAATTAACTGCCCAAATCTCTCTCCAGTGAAGAACTCACCCGCTGCTGAGAATGCTGTTGGCAGATAGCTTTTAGTTGTCAGACTACTTAGCGATTGCCTCAGCAGCAGAGCACTGCCTCGCCCAAGGCCACCTTCCTTCCCAGGGTGGCCCACGTCCAGCGATGAAGGTAAATAAAAGCCTGGCATCTCAACACAACTCAGGGAAGCTCTGCAGGGTGCTTCTAGCTAGAATCTCTGTGGGGTCAGCCCAGGCTGTCATTAGGCCAAATAGTTGGCACACATCACATGCCAACTTCTCCCTCAGCCCAATCCTGCTTTCCATTCCTCCCTTGCATAGGTATTGATCCCAAAGACACTCCTTAGTAAACACTGGCACACTAGACTCTAGTTCAGAGTTGGCTTCCCACACACCAACTTCAGTTTCCTCAACTATGAAGTATTAATCAATCTCACAGGGAAACCATCAAACGGCATATTCTCCATATGAGCACTTTCAAAACCATAAAGACATACAATTATAATGCTACAATTACTATTGTTATTATTTAAATAATTATGCTCCCAATTCTTTATTCCTTATATTTTTCTAGTATGATACAGTTTTTGATCCTGCTAAAACGTGAAACCTGTGTGGTTCTAGCTCTAGGGTGTGGTGTATTTGCTATGCTGAAATGGCAAAAAGGGTTTTGGGGACAAACATCAACCTTACTTTGCCTCCACAAAATAAAAAGCTATCTGGTACTAGCACTTTTTTAAAAAGTTATTGGCTTGTATCATGTTGCCTATGCATTGCTATAGAAGCCGGAAAAAAAATCCTTTATCTACCCTCACAGATTTTTTAAATAAACAAAACACAACATTAACCAAAATAAAACCACTGGCCTTAATCAGGTTGTTCTTTGCCATCAGTGCTAACTCAGTGAAGCAGGAGTGGTTACTACCTGTTCTCTCCCTGGGGGTGAGCAAACAGTCTTGCTTTGCTCTATTAATTAACTTATAGGCAGGAAATGGGTGTCAAATAGGCTAGCATCTCATCTCTGTAGTCCTGTAGTCATAAAATGTAGTCAATTGCTTTGCAAATAGCCAGCTGCTTCAATCTGTTGTGGATGATCTGGGTAGAAGATAAGGCAAAAGCAGTCTGGATGAGGTAGCTACTCTCAAAGTATCCAGTGGCTTGATCACCTATGAAAACAGCATTAGCCTACCAGTTTGATATTACTGTCATTTGCTTAATGCCAGACCCTGAGTTCACAGACAATTTAAGCAGTTCACAATTGACCTGTGAATGGAGATTCAAACACAATTTACCCATTTGCTGGGCCACTTGATATTGAAACTCTGCAGAAAACTCTATCATCGATACTTTCCCATCACCTGCATCACAGACGGTTCAAAGCCATCTGTGATGACAAATTTCAGTCATCACCTTCTCTCATCTGAGCATGCAAAGGCAGCAGCCCACAGCAGAGAAGGTCATCTGGTTGGAAGATGTCACTTAGGAAGTCTGCCAATGCCCATCACAGAGCCTGAAGCAAAGTAAAGGTGCACATGATAAATTTCCACTGCAGGGGAACAGTCCAACCTCCACCTCCCCTATCCAGACCCTTTCTGAAACCTCGAACACTTAGTAAAATAGGATGGATAATTGCATCAAACACTGAAAGCAAGCTGAAATTTTTGGTTGATATTTTGTGAACTAGTCTTAAAAAATCAGAATCAGGTACAAGTCATTCTATGGTAAGTAATGTTAATATTTCAGGTCAAAAGGTTTTAAACTGTTTTCAGTAGGAACATTAGATCTTTCTGATGTGCCCCAGACATTCCTCACATTTTTAAGAATATATATTTCAATTTTAAAACATACTGATAAGAAAACAACAAATGCATTCAAGTATGTTGTGTACCAAAGAATATCATCGACACATACAAATTAATGTGCTTGCCAGGTCAGTAAAATTCCCATGCCCACTCTGGGCAAATCCAAAGTTCTGTAAATGTGTCTTTACTTTAGAGGCTATACCCTGCCTAAATCTTTTAAAAATTCAATCCTGCCCATATCAGTTCATGTAGAATTACACAACGAAGTGCACAACTACACAAGTGCTCAACTCAGTGAATGTGACACAAGGTTTATGGGCATCCTCCACTTCTAAGTAGTTGTCATTATTAATTACAAGGTTTCAGTGCTTGTTAGTCATGTGACCTAACAACTAAGACACATGATAAGATTTTACTTTAAACTCTTTGAGCTTCATGGACCAGTAAAATTTTACTGGATAATAAGATACCCCAACACTTAGTAACTAAAAAATTTATTTAGCACAATATTATGCATTGATCAGCAACTTGGACTGAGTTCAGCTGGGTGGCTCTTCTGTCTCTTCTGAGGTCACTCATGCATCTTTTGTCCACTGCTACATTACTACTGCTGATTTTTGTCTGTCTCACATGTCTAGGGCTTCAGGTAGGACAGCTCATCTTTGTTCCATGTGATCTCTCATCTCATTCTCCAGCAGGAGACCTGGGCTTGTTTACGTTGTGGTGGCAGAGTTCAAAGAGTGAGAATAGGTGTGTGCAGACCCTTGTGATCCAGACTCAGAACTTCTCCACCCTCACTTCCACTGCATTCTACTGGACAAAGTAGGGTAGAAGTCCAGCACAAATTCAAAGCCTGGAGAAATAGAATCCCTCTCTTGATGATAGGAAAAGAATTTTTGGCCATTTATGCAATCACTTACTTGATGCTCTTGTCTGTAAATATCAGAAAGCTCATGTGATTGTTGAATTAAATATAATAACATATAAAAAAATCACAGGATGCTTTGGAAATGCTCAATAAATATTGGTGACTTTTTCTTCTCTGTTCCCTTTCAGATTAAGTAGGTCGGGTCACAAAGCAAAGAGATAGCTTTGCTTGTGTAGCTTGTCAAAATTATATTAGTAATTTAAGGTTTAAATGGAAGTTGCTTTTAGTTAACTTTATTAAATTATGTAATAAAGATATTAATCATAAATCCATATAAAATTAACTTAATTATATACACACCTATGTATGATACCAAGTCACATACACAGAGAAATCCTATACCAACCTATATCACTGTGAAACTTATCTCTAAAGAGGCCCATGTGAACCAACTCCTCCCAGTATTCAATCCCTGGAATCTGGGCTGTCCCTAAGACTCACAACCAATTGAATACAATGAAAGTAGCACCAGTTTCCAGGCCCAGAAGTTAACAGAGTGGTACTTAAGGAAGTTCCACCTCCTTCGTCCTGGAGCACTAACTAGCCTGGCCCTCCACATAAGGAGGCCAACTATTCCCCAACAGCTCCAGTTGTTCTAGCTCTCAGTTATTGGAAGCATCACAGATGAAGCACCATACAGCAGGGAGCAGAGATGAATCATCCCTCCAGAGGCCTAGATTCCTGATCCACAGAATCATAGATACCATTGGAATAATAAAATACTTTTAAACCTCTAAGTTTTGGGGGTAGTTTGGAATGCAATAATAGATAATTAGAACAGCCAGGAAATCTCTGGCCATAGCTGAATATTTTCACTGGGCTGAAAACCATTACCATAAAACTGCTGCTAGTGACACACAGTTCATTGATCCGTGAATCTAAGAGGAACTCAGAAATCAGGAAGGCTGGCATGATTGAAAGGAGCTGGGCGAGGGGAGGGTGGTGTCACTATGGTGTCAAGACCCAGTTGGACTCATAGCCTGTAAGGCGAGGTTTATGAGCAGAGCAGCTGTGAGGCTGGGATCTGCTCAGTCAGCTGGTTCCCAGAGCGCTTAGCTCAGTATCTTCTGCAGGGTCTCCTGAAGGTTCAACAGAAAACCAGGTTCATGAGCCATGAGGTGCTGAAGCAAAGCCAGGTGCTTGGGCCTGGGTGAATGCTCATCGCTGCACTCATCTGGATATACAGAACACGGTTAACACCATGACCTGCAAGTGCTGCCGGGGCCAGCATGTTGGAATGAGGCGATCACAAACAGGGCAAATGTAACTAATGCTTTAATGGCTCCCTGAAGCCTTGATTCTCACCCCACAGTCTGGTTATGCACTGTCAGAAAGTCCCAGCAGCAGAAGAATGTGCCAGCCCAATGTAACCTGCCGTAAGGAATGCAGCATACTTTGAAACAGAGACTAGAAAGGAAAAGAAAGTCTCAGAGCTGCTAACACTGATGCCAGATCTACTATCATGTAAGTGATGATGCTGAGAAGGAGTTATCTGGGCTCTTCATCCACATGTGTACATTCAGATACAAGCTCTAGACATTTATTGAACATCTGCCCTGTGTTCCATATTCTTCTGGGGTCTCCAGGAATATGGGATTAAGTTTCTGAAAAACAAGGTGCTAGCAATAAACCACTGTACCTCCTATTGGACGTGATCACCAGATTCAATAAATGAGTACTTTATTACAGTGGACAGTAACTTTTTAAAGCACTTCCTATTTGTCTAGTAATGTGCAAGAAGTTTAAGATCTGATAATGAGGAGTCAAGAATGGGTTTAAATTGTGACACCAGGAAACTGCATACATCATAAAGAAGACTAAGTGCTATGGGAAGACATAGAAGGAAGGGAGTAATTTTGACTAGGGGATCTGGATGGCTTCATAGAAGAACTGACCTGTGAACTAAGACTTAAGGACAGGTGACAAAGATTTCAGAAAGCAGAAGTGAAGGAAACACACATTCAAGGCCAGACAGAAAAAGGTGCATTCCAGGCAAAGAAACAGAGCAAAGGAACAGAGGTCTACAACAATTCAGAGTGTTTCTGGAGGGGAAACATGAGGTGACAAGAGATGAAACGAATGAAAGGAGGGAGGATAGTGGAAGACAGAGCTGGAAGGGAAGTTGGAACTGAGAGGTGACAGCGTGCTGGCAGTCCTCACAGCCCTCGCTCTCTCTCCGCGCCTCCTTGGCCTGGGCTCCCACTTTGGCGGCACTTGAGGAGCCCTTCAGCCCACCGCTGCACTGTGGGAGCCCCTTTCTGGGCTGGCCAAGGCCAGAGCCAGCTCCCTCAGCTTGCCAGGAGGTGTGAAGGGAGAGGCCCGAGCGGGAACCGAGGCTGTGCACGGTGCCTGCAGGCCAGCTGGAGTTCCGGGTGGGCGTGGGCTTGGCGGGCCCGCACTGGGAGCAGCCGGCCAGCCCTGCCAGCCCCGGGCAGTGAGGGACTTAGCACCCGGGCCAGCGGGTACTGGGTCCCCCAGCAGTGCCAGCCCACCGGTGCTGAGCTAGATTTCTCACCAGGCCTTAGCTGCCTTCCCGCGGGGCAGGGCTCGGGACCAGCAGCCCGCCATGCCTGAGCCTCCCACCCCCTCCATGGGCTCCTGTGCGGCCCCAGCCTCCCCGACGAGTGCCACCCCCTGCTCCACGGCACCCAGTCCCATCGACCACCCAAGGGCTGAGGAGTGCAAGTGCACGGCGCAGGACTGGCAGGCAGCTCCACCTGCAGCCCTGGTGCGGGATCCACTGGGTGAAGCCAGCTGGGCTCCTGAGTCTGGTGGGGAGGTGGAGAACCTTTATGTCTAGCTCAGGGATTGTAAATACACCAATCAGCACTCTGTATCTAGCTCAAGGTTTGTAAACACACCAATCAGCACCCTGTGTGTAGCTCAGGGTTTGTGAGTGCACCAATCCACACTCTGTATCTAGCTACTGTGGTGGGGCCTTGGAGAACCTTTGTATCGACACTCTGTATCTAGTTAATCTAGTGAGGACGTGGAGAACCTTTGTGTCTAGCTCAGGGATTGTAAACGCACAAATCAGCGCCCTGTCAAAACAGACCACTGGGCTCTACCAATCAGCAGGATGTGGGTGGGGCCAGATAAGAGAATAAAAGCAGGCTGCCTGAACCAGCAGTGGCAACCCGCTGGGGTCCCCTTCCACACTGTGGAAGCTTTGTTCTTTCACTCTTTGCAATAAATCTTGCTGCTGCTCACTCTTTGGGTCCACACTGCCTTTTTTTTTTTTTTTTTTTTTTTTTTTTTTTTTTTTTTTGAGATGGAGTCTCGCTCTGTCGCCCAGGCTGGAGTGCAGTGGCGGGATCTCGGCTCACTGCAAGCTCCGCCTCCCGGGTTCACGCCATTCTCCTGCCTCAGCCTCCCAAGTAGCTGGGACTACAGGCGCCCGCCACTACGCCTGGCTAATTTTTTGTATTTTTAGTAGAGACGGGGTTTCACCATTTTAGCCGGGATGGTCTCGATCTCCTGACCTCGTGATCCGCCCGGCTCGGCCTCCCAAAGTGCTGGGATTACAGGCGTGAGCCACCGCGCCCGGCCCACACTGCTTTTATGAGCTGTAACACTCACCGCGAAAGTCTGCAGCTTCACTCCTGAGCCAGCGAGACTACGAACCCACCAGAAGGAAGAAACTCCAAACATATCCGAACATCAGAAGGAACAAACTCCAGACGCGCCACCTTAAGAGCTGTGACACTCACTGCGAGGGTCCGCGGCTTCATTCTTGAAGTCAGCGAGACCAAGAAACCACCAATTCCGGACACAGAACCACACCATGAAAAGCCTTGAATGTCGTGCTAAGCTGATTGACCGTATTATAACAAAGTGCTACATTGTGAGGTGCTGGGAAGGACAAAAAGACTAAAGATAATAGAAAAATGCATGCAAATGGACAAAAAAAAGTATTTTTGCCTCAAACTGCAGGCAGCTACCACCACCATGGAGAACTTCACGTGGCCTTAGCACAATCAGCAAACTCTTCCATGCACTTCCATGCAGTCACTGCTACACCCGGCTCCCCAAACACAGTATAATGTGCACATGAAGATTTGTGCAAAGCAGTAAATGAATTAATTTTTCCCTGCCTATCCAAGTTGAAAATTGTTTCTCTTGTTTGTATCATAACATATTGCTTGCTCCTGAAGCTATTCAGATGCTTTTGTGCTTTTCTCTGAGATTTGAAGGAATTTATGGGCAGGGAGCAGACTGTGCCTGTCCACATATATCCTGACACCTAGCAGGGTGCCTTGCAAACAGCAGCTATTCATTTTTTGTTGAATGTATAAATAATATGGAAGATAAAATGTCTAATTATATCACAACAATGTGTTGATCTAAGTTGAAAATAAACCTATTTAAATTTGCCATCAAATCCGGTATTATTTGTGGTCTTTATTTTTTTGTTCAACACTTAACAAAGAAGAGATACTTTCCAATATTCCCTTTCTCCCTATAATTGTGTGTGTGTCTGTGTATGTACACACATATGTCTTTACATTCCTTTGTCACCCACAAAATGCACCTTTTTTTCTATTTCATGTCTTCCTTCTCAGAAACGTGGAGTCAAACTAAATGAATCTTATGTTTTTTATCTCCTAGTGTAATGTGATTCTTTAGACAAATATTCTCACCTCCTTCCTACACCTCTCCCATCCTCTTATGAATGCAAATGGCCTTTAACATCCTTCCCTAAATAACTCTCAGACTACCTTTCTCTTTTATCTTGTTTCCATGGATTCTTTTCAATTGGTGGCAAAATGTGTTGAAGTCTTTCTGAAAGGTCATTTTACTAATAGGATATTCTCCTTTTCTAAGTCTCCAACCTAGATTCTATCAGTTTGTGATCATATTGCCCATCTTCTCTACGGTTTTATGTACTCCCTCTCTGCATGCTTTGAACTAGGACAGTAACTGCCCTACTCATTTTCTTTTTTCCAGTAATTGTCCCCATATTACTGTTAACACAGATTTCTAACCAGACTAAAAACATACCCCTCACTAGGTATTACTGTCTATGGACTATACTTTAAAAAGGAAAACACTGCCTACACAGAATGTCTTTGGACATTCTATAGCATTTAAAATAGTGATCTTGGCCTTTTTTTCCTCATATACTTCCTAAATTATTGTTTTAAACATTGTTAAATTTTACCTCTTTAGATCGATACCTGAAGTTTTTCATCATAATTTTAATTAGTTAATGTGATTGCCATCCCATACATCATGAGTGCTGGCATTACAAAATAAAATAATGATATTACTCATTATATGTATCCAATGGTATATAAACACAATAATACTCAATATTCTGTTTACATAAATATGAACAAGCTCATTTTATACCCTTCTTGTTTTCCTAACTGTATTTCTCTCTCAGCATCTTACCTTAGTATAAACATTTTCAGGTTGGAAATTCTTTTGTTGATTGTCCTATTTCTCTACATCAAAATATGCACATACATTTAATTTTCTCTTTGGCCATAAGACCTTGTAAGTGTTAAAACTTATTTTGGATTAAATTATTATTACATTTATTATTAATACATTATAACATAAATATATTATAATTTTGATAAATAAACATTACATATAAAATATGCACCTCTTAATAAGATGGTTGTTGCTGTGTCTTAGTCCATTCAGCCTCTATAACAAAATACCAAATACCACAGATGGGGTAGCTCGTAAACCACAGAAATTTACTTATTAGAGTCCAAGATCAAGGTGCCAGCAGATGTTGTCTGGTGAGAGCTTGTTTCCTGGTTTGTAGATGGAACCTTCTCTCTGTGTCCTCATGTGGTAGAAGGGGAAAGACAGCTCTTGGGGCTTCTCTGATAGGGCACTAATCTGACTCATGAGGGCTCCACCCTCCAGACCTAATCAGCTCCCAAAGGACTCTCTTTCTAATACCTTGGAGGTTAGCTTTCAACTTACAAATTTGGTGGAACATGGGGCAAAAACATTCAGGCCATCGCAGGCTGTTTTGCATGTTTTGGGGATTTTGGGTGCCAGGGAGATGTTGATTCTTGTATCTGAGATCACTGTTACTTGATGCTACAGGAAGAAAACCTGAAGAATCAACTCTACTTTTAGTTTTTGTGTGTGCTGTTTACATCAGGGGTCCCCAACCCCTGGGCCATGGACAGGTACCTTTCCATGGCCTGTTACGAACCAGGCCACACAGCAGGAAGTGAGTGGCAGGCAAGTGAGCAAAGCTTCATCTGTATTTACAGCCACTCCCCATCAGTTGCATTACCACTCAAGTGCCACCTCCTGTCAGATCAGCAGCAGCATTACATTCTCATAGGAGCACAAACCCTATTGTAAACTGCACATGTGAGGGATCTAGGCTGTGCACTCGTTATGAGAATCTAATGCCTGATGATCTGTCACTGTCTTCCTTCATCCCCAGATGGGACTGTCTAGTTGCAGGAAAACAAGCACAGGGTTCCCTCTAAGCATACATTATGGTGAGTTGCATAATTATTTCATTATGTATTACAATGTAACAATAGTAGAAATAAAGTGCACAATAAATGTAATGTACTTGGATCATCCCAAAATCATCCCCCACAACCCTGGCCGGTGGAAAACTTGTCTTCCACAAAACCAATCCCTGGTGCCAAAAAATCTGGGGACCATTGGTTTACATGAGCTAGTAAAAGTGGAAGGTGGTGTTGTATCATAGCAATGACTCAATTCTTTGAACTCTTTTTATGTTGTAAGCCAAAAATTACCTAATGGTCTATAAAACATATTTGTTAAAGTATCAGCTGACAACCTACTAGATCCCCATTCCATTTTGTTGAAAGTAAGTAATTGGAATCCACCATATTTGCAAAATGATTTGCCACTCTGTTCTTTAGAGTCATTCACCTTCTCTGTTTCTGGGAAGTACATAAAAAAAGGCTTTATCAAAACTTAACTAAGTATTATTGCTTATACTTGTTACTGTTTTTACTTAAAAGCACCTTATTTAACCAACGTATTTAGAGAGGGGAGGTATGTTTCTCAATCTTTCCTGAGGGATACACTATCTCTAGCTTCCAAAGCTGTTTGCTATTTAAATATGTCCTTTGATCAGAAGGCTCAGCTTGTACAGGAACAAGAGCTGTTCAGGGAAAATGGACTCCCAACACATGGGCTTTGACTATATTTTCATCAAACTCTTGGAGCTGTGGATTAGCTCATTAAATTTATGGAAAATAACTGCCATATATTTTAACTGGCATTATCAATATGTATTATCAAGTCAATTGGCCAAATAAGACTTCTTTATGTTAGAAAAAAAAGGGCTGCCTTCATTTTTTAAGTTCAAATAAACACATTTTCAGTAATTCCTATTCAAGAATGAATTCCATTCATGCCAACACTGATATGGGTCAAAACATCTTGTTTCTAATTCTATGCTTTCCCCTTATAAGAAATATGGCAGGAAAAATCAAAGGTCCATGTTGGCTTTTGGTGCTTTAAGAAAGGTGGAGTTGCTGGCACCAATATTGCAAATTGTGTGCTTGTTTGGTGCCTCAGCAATTTTTAAACTTGTGGCACAATACCACTCCGAATGAGAGGTATGCCTTATGTTTTTAAATTGAGAGAACTGCAATTGTAGAAGGGAAGAGAAAAAAGACAGCTAGTTTGATGTCACAATCACAGGCACATGCTCAAGCAATTTTAGGAAAATGGAGATGAAGCACTGGAAATACTTTTTAAAAAAAATAACTGTTGCACCCTTGTGTCCCTTGTAAAGTCCCTATGTACCCTCAGCATATCCCAGCTGACTTAGTGTAAACTGGCAGTGGATCCTGGGAAAGAACAAAATCAGACTTGGTGAATGATCAGAGGAAGGTCATAGAGCCAGAATATCTATACTTTCCAGACAAATAACTTTGTGTCATTGCCCAGGACATAATTGTACTTATATTTCAATAACTTTAAATATAATGCAGAGGCCACATCATTTTGTCCTTCTAGTTTGAAGAATACCATGCTAACTTTGTTACCCATCAGAGCATTCACAGTTTTGCATTAAAAACACTATAAATATAAAGGAAGAATTATAAAAAAATGCATAAATTTAGAACAAGAATAATAACAGCATGATAGGCAACTCAAAGGATGCTTGGTGATTAAAACACCTAAGGTCTTATAATTCTGCAATAAGAACAGTGGCCTGGATTCTTACTTATAATGATAATGGTGGTGAATTAGAAAGCATTTGGTCCTGGAGGTACAATAAAGGCAATTTGAACACTAATAAAGGGAAGCTGTCAAGCAGATCCAGCTAATGATTTATAAAGATAAAGAAACTACTTTAGTGGAGTTTTTTTATTTTTTTCTGCTCACCACAAATTATTTCAATTCAAGTGTAACGTTTGATTTTGAGAAAGAAAAAAAGATCAATTTAGCTTTAATTTTTGCTCTTATTCCATATTCCAATTATACTTCCGCTTTAGTGTGTGAAGAATACAAGGCACCAAACATCACCGTAATAAAAGCAAGTCTAGGATTCTTTTTTTTTGTAGCTTTTTTTTAATTTTTAATTTTTGTAGGCACACAGTAGATGTATATATTTATGGTGTACCTGAGATGTTTTGATACAGGCATGCAATGTGTAATAATCACATCATGGAAGATGGGATATCCATTTATCTTTTGTGTTACAAACAATCTAATTATACTCTTGTAGTTATTTTTAAATGTACAATTTAGTTATTATTGACTATAGTCTCCCTGTTGTGCTATCAAATACAAATGCCTATTCATTCATTCTATTTTCGAACCCATTAGCCATCCCCACCTCCCCGTCTCCACCCTGTTGTGCTATCAAATACTAACGCTTATTCATTCATTCTCTTTTTTTGGACCCGTTAACCGTTCCCACCTCCCCCCCTTCACCGTCCCCTCCACTATCCTTCCTAGCCTTTGGTAACCATCAAGTCCGGGATTCTTGAAGCCAGTTTTGTCACAAGTGCACATCAGCATGAGAGTTGCTAAGCAGTGTAAAATGATATTTACTACATGAAAATACATTAGCTAAAAACAGAATATGTGATTCTTGTGTTCAGAGGATGCCAATAAATACCATGAGGAAAGCAAAGGGAATCCATTATTTATAATGGTAAGTTACGCGATTAATAAGTTAAAAATTACCTCCAACATCTGCTTTTCTATATATTTGAGTAAATATCCCTTTTTATACCGAACCAAATGTGAGAAATAATGGGAAATGCATAAGAACACTATTTTGAGAAACTTTGGTTTCGTATAAACAGCAAGTAGGCAGGCGCTGACCCAGTTCTTCCCCTTACTCTACATAAAATGCAATCCAAGTCCTGTGCTCTGGAGCACCGAAGAAATGACAGGTTCTTCCTAAACTGCTGAATATTCAAATCCTACAGTGCTGTGGGTCAGAGTCACAGTGACCAGAGATGAGGTGGAAATCATGGTGCCTATTCTTCTGTGATCACATCTGCAATTGGGACAAATTGGGGGAATGTGTCCTCTCACCTATGGTGTCACCAGGAATGAACTTTCTACATGTGAATCTGTAGCATCACCTAATTACCATCCCACAAATGGTTCTTCAGAGAATCAAAAGGCTTCTTATTAGCTACAGCTGAGATTTAAAAGAATAGGCAAAACCATAGCATTGAAATTTTTATTAAAAGGCTGCTAATATAAACTTCCAGTGATCTGAGTAGCTGAATTCTAAGATTACAAATAAACTAAAGGAAAAGAGAAAAAGGAGAGAAACCTATTGTTCAAGTCTCTTTTCAAAAAATTTCCTAAGATAGAAATGTAGAACAAAGAGACTTCTAAAGATTGTCTTAGATTCTTAACAGAATATAATATAAGAAATGTACATGCAGATAGCGGGGAGTAGGGGATGGGAGTAGATAGGACAACATATACAGGCCACTGACGTTGTCCATACCGACTACATTCCAAGCCATTTAACTGAAACAGTCGTTCGATGTCTTTGCCGCCTTGACCTCAACTTGCTTTTCTTACTATGCAAACACTTCCTCTTTGCCAAGTCATTTGAAATTGTGGAAGTCTGAGTTTACAGATGCTGTAGGCTCATTCTAAATACCTCAAGTGTGCATAACTTAGAACCTACAGAATGCTGAACAGCACAGATTATAGTTTGGCAGATCAATCTAATGAGAATGGAAAACAGTTCTTGTTATCCACTGCATTTCCATTCCCACTGGAATAAATTGAAATAATCATGCACATACCAAATGCTAGAGAAAGGAAATACAGGGTGGGGTCTAATGCCAGTGCTCTGAAGGGAGACTGGCCCCAATTGTGTGTTGGCATACCCTTGAGGTAACCCAGCTTTCTTAAGAGCTAATGTGAAATCACCCCCTTGCCACAGGGCCCAACCAGAGGAAATGAGAAAAAGGCAGTGGACAAAATGAGTAGGAAGTCCCTTAAGATACGGGGAGAGCATCGCATTCCTCCAAGGGAAAGGAAGGGAGAGATGCTGGGAATCGGAAAGCACTGGGACAACACCTGAGAGAGAAGGAAAAGGCGAGGCTCCAGCCCTCAGAACTTAGGCTCCATTCCCTCCAGGCCCTCTCCCTGCAGCTGCCTTGTTGCTATTTTTTTCAATTCAGGCTCAACTTTACAGACTTACTAAGCTGTTTGTTTAAAATACATTCACACTCATGATCACAGTGAGAGAAAATAGACAATCTCTGGTAGATGTCCAGGCTAGAGGAGGATACAGCAATATGTGTCAAAAACTTTTTAAAGTACATAATATTTGCCTGAGTAATTCTGCCTCCAGGATTCTGATGAAAGGAAACAACCAGGTATATGCATAAAGATATATATGTACAGGAATGTGCCTCACCACATTAGTTATGAGACCAAAAAATTAGAAACATAAAACTAAATTTCCAACCATATGGGGATGATTCAATTAATTTTGGTGGCATCACAATATGAACTATTATGGACGATTAAAATGATCACGTGAAACTATATTTATTAACATAAAAATATATTTTTATTATATAAGCATTTTAAAGGAGATTATGCAACACAATGCAGGGGCTTCCCATTTTGTTGTTAAAAGACATGACTGAGTGAGAGAAAGTCTTAAAGGCCTTGCTCGTGTAATAAAATCAGTTATAAATTCAATTGTAGAAGGAAATGTTGATGATCCATTATTAAGTTTGAGAAGCAAGTAGCAGAACAGTATTACAGTCTGTCTCTCAGTAAATAAAATAATCATATTATTAATATATGTGCATAATATTTGTTCATTATATATATGCATGCATCAGTAAATAATGAGAATATACACCAAAATGTTAACAATGGTAGGATTGCACATGGGTTTTATTTTCATTTTTGTACCTTTCTGAATTTTTCTAAATTTTTACAAATACAATTTTTTATGGTCAGAAAAAGCAATGATTCTTTAAGTCTTACATGTAACACTGCTGTTCATTCCCCTGCAAATAAAAGGCACAAGAAACTAGTACCAACTTCCCACTTTCTGACATCTAAATGCTGCTCATTTCACATGTTTCTTTTTGGCATGGAAAGCTAAGGTATAAAGGAGGGGAACAAAGTGAAAAATACCCAAGGGAGAAGAGCGAGGCATCCATAGGTCACATCCTGATGCGCATGACTCATTCCCACAGATACAATAATTAGGACCAAACCTTTAGATTGCACAATGTCATTATCATTTAAAAGGTGAAAAATAACTTATCGCCTTTATGCAAAATAAAAGTCATCTTGAGAGATGGTATCATTATTCTATTACTACACTCTTATGAGTTGCATAAAGTGATGTCAAGAAGGCATATATCACCTCTGGTGGTCCATATGCATCCTATTGAAAAATGTGCATATGCACTCTGCATAGATCTTCTTTTCCTGTAATAGATTAGGAGAGAATGTCTGACATGCTTAACTAGATTTCAAAATAGCAAAGGAAACGGTCAAACATGGAGTAACTGCAGTAATGAGATAACTATGTGAAATACCTCACACAATGTTTGAGATAGCTGAACTTAATCTATAAGAAATCACTGAGAAATAGAGAGGAGCCAAAAATCTGGAGTTCAAAAACTTTCCCATTTTTCTAAAATGTGGCAAGTAAACTCTAAAACCATAAATGAGTAAGCATGACACCAAGTGATAAACCATTGTAGAACAGATTACTAAGCAAGTGGTTTGTGAGCAGAAAAGGATTTCTGATTACACTGGAAGCCAATATGGGTTTAGGGGAAAAAAAAGCCTTAACTAATCTCATTTTTAAAATAGGACTTAAACTAGGAAGTGCTATAAATATGTTTGCAAATTTAATTTTGAAAAGTCATTCATCAAAATCTCTCATAAAATCCCTGTATACAAGATGGAGAATGTGACCTAGATGAAAGTCCAGAAGGTGGACTGTTAGGATTCACAAAAAGTAGTGACTGATGAGCCCATCTCTTCCTTGAACGGAAGCGTCCAAAGTGTGGGTGTGTACTGATATGAATGTGTGAGTGTATTGATGTGGAGGTAAGTGTGTATGTGTGCCTATGCATGAATGGGTGAAAGGGCTTAATGGAGAGCTACCACTACTCTTCCTCCTACATACATACACACACACACACACACACACACTGCCTTGCTAATTTTCCTCAATTCCTTACTTTTTTCACCCTACACATTAATGCTTCATTGAGTCCCTTCCATTCCACCTCTAAAGCATGTACCCAGTTTGTCTACTACACATCATCTCTATTACTACTACCCGATTGAAGCCATCACCACCTCTCACCTTGACCACAACAAACATCTTCTAGCCAGTTATCTATTCTGATTCTCACTCCCTACAATAAATGTTCCACAGCAAAGCTGGAGTGAGCTTTTAGAAACTTTTATTAGATCATCCCAAGCTTGTGCTTAAAATCCTGCAACTCATTAGACTCAAATGAAAACTTCATAGTCTGGCCTACAAAGCTCCATGTCTGGCTGCTGCCCACCTCTCCCCATCAACAACCAGGTCACTGTAACACTCTCCACCTCACCCCCTGTACTGTAGCTACTGTCACCTTAATGCCTTTGAACAAGCTCCACCCTTTGCCTGGAATCTCCTTTTCTAGGGACCTCCCACTCTGCTTCTGTTTTTCTCCTAAGAGTGAGGAAGAAATGATAAACAGGTTGGGAAATATGAGCAAGGAGAATTTATACCTCCACTAAGCAAATAAATAAAAACATTACAGACCAGCCTTAATAATTATCTAGAAAAGTTACTAAACATTCACAAAAAACAATCATTCATTCACTAATGTTTATTGTCTACTCTGTATGTAAGAAACTGTTCTAGAGGCTAGGGATACTCCTCATGGAACTTACACTGTATTGGAGAGAGAAAAAAATAAGCAAATATATAATGCCTGTCAGCAATGAGTGTTACTAAGGCAAAGCAGGGTAAGAGCAATAGTGAGGCTGGGGAGAAGTGGTTGCTTTTCTAGATAGGGTGGACAACAAATGTCTCTCCAATGAGGTAAGACATGTGAGTAGAGACCTGGCAGAGGTGAGGAGACACAACCTGGAGAATATCTGGGGGAAGAGAATTACAGGAAGAGCAAGCAGAAAGTGCAAAAGCCCTGAGGTGGCAGTGTGCTTGAGCATACAAGGAACACACAAAACACACAGGTGGTAGAATGCAACAAGAGTATGGACTGAACAAGTTAGAGATGCATAAAAAATTACAACCTAGGCATAACCAGGGGTCAGATCAAACAGGGCCTTGAGAACAGAAATCATCCATTATCATGTGTATGCTGTTGTTTTGAGCGGGGAGATGATATTACCTTGGCATAATCAAGCATTCCTTTGGTTTTAAGTGGGATAACTGAGTGCTCAAACATAGGAAAAATATAAATATTGCTATGAAGGAAGTCAGGAAATAAATTTGTTGATAAAAAAATAGATGCTTCAGAAGAACCCTTCATTTAGGGACCCACCAAGTAATATCCATGAAAACCCGCATGATCTGGGAATATCGTTCCCCTGTTTTTCCTCCATTCCATACAACGAAGATGGAATCCAAGGCACATCCATTTAGTCCCCATTTATTACCCCATCTTCTCTAAATATCTAAGATGTTTTTAGTTTGGCAGACTTTTTATTTTGCTCTGTAAACCGGCCATTGCCTTCAATCATGTTTAACCTGACCTACATCACTGGGGACCCTGTGGCTGGAAAACTAACTGCACACAAAGGTTACTTTATGAATATTTGTTGAATGAATGAATAAACAGTGTATCTGGCTTAAATTTACCATCTGTAACAAAGAGACACTGTTCACTGGGCTGGTAGTAATATTTCTTTAAGAATTGAGAATAGTCTATATTTATTTTAGGCAAATGATCTAAATCAAGCTCACCTGCACCCTCTGTAATTCTTACTCAGAGAGGAAGACTTCCACTTGCTCTTTAGAATTTAAGGGCATTAACAATCCAGCAGAAACCGCTTAGCAAGAGAACCAGGAAGAGCAAAACACATTTAAACCAATCAAGGCTCAAAGGGGAGAAATGGCATAATGGTTGCTCTTACAAGTGTAAATTATTCACACCAGAAATGCTGAACAGAAGGAAGGAAGACGGAAGGAAGGGAAGGGAGCAAAGGTGGGCGTGGGGAAGCGAAGAGGGAATGAGGAAGAGGAGGAGATGGAGAGAGAAGAACAATTTAGGTTGGGAAGCCAGGAAGAACCCACCTTGGGCCTTACTTTCTTTGCTTTCAAGTCTCGATGGCGAACATTTCTGACAGGTTGGCAAGGCTCAGTGAGCACCAATGGGTCAGGGTCTTCTGTTCTCTCTCAGGATCCTGCTCCTCATTGCAAAGTTGCTCACCAATCTGCAAAGGGTCTCAACTTGGAAGCAGCTCCTGCCCGCTCCATCCAAGGCCGTTGAGTTCACGCAGATTTTCTTTTGCAGCGGCCCCACAGGTCTGGAGGGCAACATGGGAGTGCGTTCCAGCTCTGCACCCAGGGAAAAGCCACTGAAGAGCACAGACGATTCAAACTCCCCAACCTGTCCCTCTTGAACCGCTCCAGGTAGAACTGTTGGACTTAGCAAACAAAAATACAGGACGCTCTGTATGTTGCTTAGCAAACCTAGCCCTAGAAGCCCAGAGAGGCTGGGGCGTTAACCATACTGGGGAGAGGCGTGGGCAACTGAGAATGGAGGGGACCTCGGAGGGAGGGCCCGGAAAAAATTTTTAAAAGCCAGTCCCACAACTCCGCGACACGTCCCAGCCAAGGCGCGGCGGGGAGCCTTGGACAGGAGTGCACTTGAAGGTGAGGGTGCAGAGTGGCCGGTGGGACTTGTGGCTGGTGTTCTCGGCCATGCCCTGGCCCCAGAAGTCGTTGGTGAAGATGCCCCAGCAGAGCGAGGCGCTGGGCCGCACGTCGGGGTTGTTCACGGTCGCCCACGAACTCGCCCTGCAGGGAACGGCCTTAGCACAGGCAGCTCGCGCCTGCCAGCAGCGCCGCGGCCCCGGCTATCAACACCTCCTCCTCCCCACTGCGAATGCCCCGATCGTGCTCCCCAAAACCCAATACATCCACGCCCCCAAAAAACTGGGAACCCACGCGGGTGCCTTCTGTTTACCGCAGCGCTCTCACTGCAGGCGCTTGAGTACCAGATGGCGAGAGTTCGCGCGCAGGTGGAGTGGGGATCCTGGCGCTAGGCTACCCAGGAGAGGAGGGGAAGGGCAACCCGCGGTCCCGCCTGTGGTGCCCGGCTGTGCTCATCCCCACGCCCCAGACCCCAAAAGGGGCTGGGGAGGGGCACATCTGGCGGACCCCTCGCGGGGGACCAAGCGGGTTTAGCAGGTGCGCCGCCTGGAACCCCTACGCCCACCTTCCAGGGAGAAAAGTGCCTCTGCTTCTCGGGAAGTTCCCGGCTTTTCAGCACCCGGGACAACAGCAGCGGCACCTGGGGAGAGGCTCTCCACCCCGCCCCGCGCTCGCTTCCAGTCGCCAGCTTCGTGATCTTCTGCCCGGACTTTCTCTCACCCGCCGGGCGCTGCGTCCTGCAGTCCCAGCCTCCCTTGGGGACAGGGAGCACCTTCCCCAAAGCCAGGAGAAGAGGTCTCCCTGGACAAGGACATCCTGCTTGCCCTGCCTGGGTGTGTTTAGAGGAGCCACCGGCGGTTTAACTTCACAGCCCATTTATTGGCCCGCACTTACAAAAAGCCCCAGGTTTAATTCTTGGTTTGGGCCTAGGAGCTGAACTGGCTTCTAAAACACTTCTTTCATTTTTATTTATTTCAACTCTTTGGGCAATCCGGGATATGACGAGCAAATTATTCTTATGCAAGGCAGTCACTTGGGTCTGATTATTCATTTCTGGGCTTTGCAGGTGTTTGAACTGCTTCTGCTCAGTCAATATGCAAAGAACTGGGTAAGGCCTTTGGTTTTGGCTCCTAAACGTCCCTGTCTTCTTCAAAGGTTCTCATTTTAAAATACTAGCTATAGTCTATCAATAATTAGCTGAGAGTGCTGCACACTAAATAAGTTTCTACATTTGAAAGTCTCCTAACTCTTTCGGGCCCCTTGCAAATTACCACTGTTGCATGTTAGTGGTGGGCCTCTGATGAGCTTTCTAGACCCTTCTTCAAAACCAGTGGACTTATTCCCAGCTCTTGAGAGTTCTATTGGAAGGAAACCCTCAGGTATCAGTCCTCTTTAGAATTGTCTTGCCTGAAAAGGGACACCTCCACCAAGGTCACCTCCTCTTTCCAGGGTAGCATGAATCCAATGACTGATGGGTGTTGGGTTACGGAGGCCCGCTTGACCCTCCTGCCCTTGCTAGCAACAATTCTGATCATCATTCCAGCTTCAGATCTTTCCAAGGTGTCTCCACTGAGGCCATATATGGCTCAGCTGCTCCCTTTGACTAATCCTTTTTTCCCTTACTTTCCACAGGTGGTGATCCTAAGAGCACTCCCATATACACATCCAGCACCTTAAAAATCCATCAGACTCTGCTTCCTAAGGATCCCAACCTGAAAAAGTTGGTGCTAGGAGTGGCCCCAGAAAGCATATGTTAAGATCAGCTCTTGGAGTTGTATTACCCACCAACCCAGCTGGAAAAAGTATACCATCACTGGAGCTAGCTGGAGCACAGATAATGCTGGCACAAGGTATCAGTTCCACTATAAAAATGTTCACTGGTGATAAAAGGGAATGTTATTTGTAAAGTGAAAGCACTACACTGTGCAATGTTTCAGGCTTTTGGGAAATGCAAGAGAAATTGTAACCCTAGGGACAGTGGAATTGGGTGGCTCCCAGTTGATGCTTTGGAGAAAGTTAATGAAAAAATTGGAGCAATTAGTTGGCAATTAAAAGCTAAATGTAAAATCCAGAAGGCCTCTTAGCATATAATGAAATTCGCATCTTCTGCAACCAGACAGCAAAGAAAACTGAAGATCAGTCCTGAGATTTAATCCGTAAGAGTGACAGAGCCCAAGAGAAGGTTAATTTCCCAAAATAGGCTGGTCTGCCATGCCAAGGTCAGCACTTTGGTTGGGAAAAAAATGGGATATCAACATATGAAATAGGCATATTGAGGCTGATGCCCATGAAAATAGTAAATTCTCAGTTTCCTCTGGAACTCCTGAGAATGCAGAAGTGGCCCAATGCTCCCTACTAAGGGTGAGTCCCCAACCTCATTAACCTTGAAGAAGATGCAATAGCCTCTTCTTTGCAAGACAGTTTGTGTACCCCTAAGGATTTGCTTCCACTTCTCCTCTCACCACTAAAGTTGGAGACCTTGGTAAGAAACATGCCCTCCTGAGAGTGGAAGAAAAAAATCCTACAAAGATGAAAAGACTTGTCAAATCAGTAAAATATTTAGGGCTCAAGTAGCAGGACATTGCTTTCAAAGTAAATGACAAATTGTTGCATCCAGCAACTTTCACCTCCAAGAAGAAAGCACAATACCTGGTAGGCCTCTACTATTTGTGGAGACAGCATATTCTACACCTAGGAATACTAATCCAGCCCACATACTGGTACCCCAGTGGCTGCCAGTTTGGAGAGGCCCATAGCAGGAAACGATTGTGCAGTAGGTCCAGGCTATGGCGCAAGCTGCCCTCCCCCTGGGGGCATGTGTGTGGACAGAACCCTATGTTAAGTGTCGGTGGTAGGAAAAGACACCATGTAAAGTGTCTGGCAAGGCCCTGGAGGAGAATTATAATGCAGACTCATAGGGTTCTGGGACAAGTCCATGCCACCTGCAGTAATAAATCATATACACTCACGAACATTCCTGATGCACTACTGGGCCCTAGTAGAGACAGAGTGCGGGACTCATGCAACTCTAAATGACCATGCAGTAGAATGGCCAATTGTGATCTGGATTCTTCCAGACCCACCAAGTCATAAGGTTGAACAGACATAAAAGCATTCCGACATACAATGGAAGTGGTACATCTGGGATCAAGTACAAGTGGGGCCAGAGGCAGCAGCCTGTACTGTCTCCCAGAGTCAATTTTTAAATTTCCAGGCGTTTTGGAAGCCAGTTGTTAAACACAACTATCATTACAAATTAAATTATATAAACTTACAATTAAATAAATTATATTAAAGACAAAGGCAAGAAATACTCAAACTTTTTTACTTCTTAATGATTTTACTACATTTTACTACTACCTATGCTTTTGAGATTATGTCTTTTATGTCTGAATGGTAGAAATACTCTATAATAGTGTGCTACAGTGTATCTCTTTACCACTTCACATTCAGTGCTGGTATGTTGATAGTTTGAAATAGCTGTTTTGAAGGATCTATATAACTTACATTGTCAACTGCTACAAATGAGGTCTTGATTTATTGTTTTTTGTAGACTGTCTATACAGTTGTACAGTTGTGTAGATTGTCTACACAGAATGTAATAGGAAAAATCGTAATCATGTAGATTTTATGTATTCATTTGTTTATTTTAGAAACTGGATCTCATTCTGTTATCCAGGCTGGAGGGCAGTGGCAGCTTCAACCTCCTGGGCTCAAGGAATCCTCCTGCCTCAGATTCCTGAGTAGCTGGGATAATAGACACATGCCACTATGTGTTGCGGGAAGTCAGGGACCCCAAACGAAGGGACTGGCTGAAGCCATGGCAGAAGAACGTGGATTGTGAAGATTTCATGGACATTTATTAGTTCCCCAAATTAATACTTTTATAATTTCTTTTGCCTGTCTTTACTGCAATCTCTAAATTGTGAAGATTTCATGGACACTTATCACTTCCCCAGTCAATACCCTTGTGATTTTCTATGCCTATCTTTACTTTAATCTCTTAATCCTGTCATCTCATAAACTGGGGAGGATGTATGTCGCCTCAGGACCCTGTGATGATTGCATTAACTGCACAAATTGTAGAGCATGTGTGTTTGAACAATATGAAATCTGGGCACCTTGAAAAAAGAACAGGATAACAGCAATGTTCAGGGAATAAGAGAGAGAACCTTAAACTCTGACCACTGGTGAGCCAGGCGGAACAGAGCCATATTTCTCTTCTTTCAAAAGCAAATGGGAGAAATATCGCTGAATTCTTTTTCTCAGCAAGGAACATCCCGGAGAAAGAGAATGCGCCCCTGTGGGTGAGCCTCTAAAATGGCCCCCTTGGGTGTGGCCGTCTTCTATGGTGGAGACTGTAGGGATGAAATAAGGCCCAGTCTCCCATAGCGCTCCCAGGCTTATTAGGACGAGGAAATTCCCGCCTAATAAATTTTGATCAGACCGGTTGCTGTCAAACCCTGTCTCCTGATAAGATGTTATCAATGACAATGGTGCCCAAAACTTCATTAGCAATTTTAATTTCGCCCCAGTCCTGTGGTCCTGTGATCTCGCCCTGCCTCCATTTGCCTTGTGATATTCTATTACCTTGTGAAGTACGTGATCTCTGTGACCCACACCCTATTCGTACACTCCCTCCCCTTTTGAAAATCCCTAATAAAAACTCGCTGGTTTTGCGGCTTGTGGGGCATCACGGAACCTACCGACATGTGATGTCTTGCCCAGAGGCCCAGCTTTAAAATTTCTCTCTTTTGTACTCTGTCCCTTTATTTCTCAAACCAGCCAATGCTTAGGGAAAATAGAAAGGAAACTACGTGAAATATTGGGGGTGAATTTTGCCCGATATCTGGCTGAATTTCCCCTAATAACCATGCCTGTCTCATTTTAAAAATTAGAGACAAAGTGTCTCTGTTTGCCCAGGATTAGATTAAGTTTTAAATGTGTGTCATTTCTATCACCATTATATTGTGTATGGCACAAAAAATGAAAAATATTCCAATATTTTAAAAATTGTTATTCCATTCAGCTAACAAGCTAGTTGCATCATTAGCAAAGGAGTGAAGTTCCAACATATATCTTTGTTGTTTCACTTTTGTCTTACTCATTAAAGTTGATGGATATAAAACTATCAGTTGACATTATTATCAGAACTACATTCATTCATCAGTTGCTATCATAGGTTGGCTATAGATACAATAATTTGTCAAAAATCAGCAAAAGCATTCTATAAGAATATATTGGCTATATGGAATTTAAAATAAATAATATTGTTTATTTTACTATTATTTGTAAATGAATACTACATATCCTTCATATCAGTAAAATTATAAACTTATGTATGTGCATATATATGTATACACACCCACACACACACACTTTTTTTAAGAACCAGTGGTTAAACTGGCTAGGGGAAGTGTAGACCCTAATGTTATCCACCAATTTTGCACCAGCACTCCACCTGCTTTTCACACCTGTGGCCACATAGAGGATCTGTTTTGACCAAACCCAGAGCTTGGTTCATTCTGAATTATGCTTGGTAGATAGGGATCGGCTTTACAGCCCCATTCAGGAGCAGCTACAAATGAGCCCAAAAGCCTCGGCTCCAACTAGTGAAGGTTGATCCAGCTACTGCTGCCTCTGAATATACAACCTGACAGCAGCAAAACCAAGGTAAGATCCCAATATCATACTTCCTCTGGGAAGCCAACTGGACACATGGTGGTGAGTTTATTGAGCCCCATCTTTCCTAGAACAGCCCATAGCTTGTTCTTACAGGAATGAACAACTCTTCCATGTATGTGTTTGCTTTTGTAGCCCAAAGAACCTCATCCATCATTACTACCCAGAGGCTTACAGAGTGCTCGATTCCATATAACAGCATCCAGACATGTGTCCCATTTCATTGTGAAGGAGGTGTGGGAATAAACCCATGATTATGGGGTACACTGGTTGCATCCCATGCCACAAAATCTGGAAGCAGCCAATGTGATAGAGCACTGTCACATCCTGCTGAATGTGCAGCTCCAGTACCGGCTCAGAGGCCAGTCTCTTCTTCAAGTATGAAGTGGTCTCCTCCAGAGACTCCTATAAGGTGCTATATCTCCAAGAGGAAGAAACACGTGGATTCAGGAAACAATGGGAGGCAGCAGGAGTGGCTCCATTTACCACGACTCCTCATACCTCTTGGGGAATGTTGTGCTTTCTGTCCCATAAATCCTGGGCTTTGCAGGTCTAGAGATTTTCAACCTCAAAAAAGTCATACTCTAGCCAGGGGACAATGCAAGGAACCTACTGACCAATGACTGCTCCCTGGCACTTTGAACTCTTTGTGGTCCTGAGACTGTCAGGTGAGAAAAGGAATCCACCTCTAGACAGGGGTAATTGACCTTGATTAGTAGGATGAGATAGGGCTTCTCTTACATAAGGAGACAGAGTGGAATATGTGTAAACTCAGGGATCCACTGTGGTGCCTCTTGGTATTCCCTCACCCAGATGTAACTCAGCAGACATGCACAGCAACCCTGGCCTGCTAAGAGTATGATTACTAAGGACCCCAATGACTCAAAAATGAGGGTTTGAGGGTAAACTACCAAGACCTGCAGCAGTGACAGCTGAAGGTGAGAAGAATGGAGAATGGTGGCGTAAAGACCATAAATACCGATTGCAGCTGCAACACAAGAGTAGCTGCAAACACAAGAGTGGTTGTTCATCCTGCTAACCATCCTCTTCGAGCATTCTATCAGGAAGGGAGGCCACTGGGAACCATGGAGTCTGAATATGCATGGAGAAGTGGACCTGCATGGTGCAAGGGGTGGACTTTGGACGCCATGTAGGTGTGTTTCTCAGATCTTCCTTCAAGCAAGAAATTGCCCTGAAGGGTTCACTTGCTGAGATGCCTTAGGGATCTGCTGCAGCATTCAAGTCAGAGACACATTCTTCCTGGGAAGTTGATGACCAAGCACAGTGGAAGTTTTAGGACCTGGCCACTTCTTTCCAGTTGGAGACTTTTCTTACAGGTAGTCTCTGCCCTGAGCTGTCCACTAAACCGGCCTAGACTTTCTCTAGCTGTACAGTCCTCTGAGGCTCTTACGCATTCCTCCTTTCCCTCTCCTTTCATAGGTGGCAAATCATCACAAGCATGAAGGTTTTCCCTCCCTTTTCCTACATCTTCTTCCATTTATCTCTCTTCCCTTTATCTTTTACCCTCTGTACATTTCTTGTACTTCTAATTTTATCTCGACATCTGCTTCCCAGATGACCAAACTAACTCATATAGCCACTTGATTGGTGACAAAGATACAACTGCAATATATCTTTGTTCAAAGAATTCAAATGATCACCTTTTAAATAAATGGCACTGGGTCAATGAATTGTGGGAAAGACATGAATCTTGACCCCTGCTTCACCTTATACACAAAAATCAATTCTAGTTGGATTTTGGACCTAAATGTTAAGAGTAATAAGTAAGTTGTTTTAAACAGAACCCAAAAAACACCAACCAGAAATGAAAAGTTTGATAAATTAGATTTCATTAAAATAGAGAATGTCTAATTGTGAAGACACCATTTGGGGAAGGAAAAGGCAAGGCCCTAAATGAAATAAGATATTTGCAATTCGTATATCCCATAAAGATATTATGTCCAGAGTATATAACAATCTCATTTAAACCAATAAGAAAAAAGATAACCCAATTTTTGCAGAGGGAGTTTATTAGGTTTCTATGGCTGCTGTAACAAATTACTACAAACTTGATGGCTTGAAATAACAGAAATTTATTCTCTCACATTGTTGGGGGCAAAAGGTGTGAAATAATTATCACTCGACTGAAATCAAGGTGTTGGCAGGGTTTTGTTCGCTTCAGAGGCTGTAGAGGAGAATTCATTCCTTGATTCTTCTGAAGGCTGATGGCTTTCCTTGGTTTGCGGCCACATTACTTCAATATCTGATTCGCAGTCACATTGCCTTCTCTTCTGTCTGTGTCAAATCTCCCTCTGCCTGCCTCTTGTAAGAATGCATGGGATTACATTTAGAGCTCACCCAGATAATCCAGTATTATCTCTCCATTGTAAAATCCTTGATCACATCTGTATAACCCTATAAATAAGATAATATTTAGGTTCCAGGGGGACCACATTTTGGGGGGCCATGATGTAGCTTACTTTAGGGGAAAAGGGTTTGAATGGCACTTCCCAATGAGGATATCCAAGTGGCTTACTGTAAAAACTGTCTAAAGTCCCTTAAAATTAAAAAATTCTATCATTCTGTAAAAGTCAGTATTCCTAGAGTTAGATATTGTAAGAACAATGTGACAGTCTTTTTTTTTTTAACTGTTATAGTTGTTATGATTGTTTGGGGGATAATTCAGGAAGTTTTAACAACAAAAGTCATTTTTAAAAACTGATTTGAGGCAAAGAAATAAAAGAAGATTGGAATTAAAAAACACAGACATTGGGAATGAGTGAGATAATATGGAATCAGGGGAGCAAGAAAAAGCAAACACAGGTAATATTAAAAATTTTTATACCACGAGCTGAGATCTACAAGTTTCCTAAGATGGCACTGTGAATAAATGTATTTCCCTGTGGAAAGTCTCAACACCATCACCTTAGTGTGATTAAGTCCTAAGTACCGGAGCCAGCAAATGTAATCTCCCAGTGTTATCCAATGGAAGAGGAAACATTCTACTGATTCCAATTAGGCCACGTACAAGGAATGCTTAGTTTTATATGATCCCCCAAAACAAAAACATATTATATGTAAGTTTTTCTTAAATACAGGCATCCAGAAGAATAAATATCTCTCCTCTGTCTTATTGTTATACCACTGACTTAGTGAAAGCACTGAATAGTTAATCCCGTGACAAGGCAGTCTCTCCACCTATGCAACGGAAAACTGCATCTCTCCTTTCTAATTTCCAGCCCTGGTTTCATAGGGGGCTATGAGGACTAAGTAAACAGTGAACAGGACTCTCCCTCAAGGCCCAACAAACTGAAAGAGCAAATTCGCAAATGCTCACTGGGGTACACTCAAAGGTACCCTAACCATACTATTTATACTCAGAAACATCCTAACTATATAATTGAAGCCCTAGCAGTGTCTCACTTCCCCCCAAAGAGCAGTTCAAGCCCAGGAGCATCAGAACATTATTAGAAAATGTGCCTGGTAAGATGGTTATTAAATAAAGTATGACTCATTTAGGTGGCTTTAATCTCTCCTATTATGTGCCAAATAGGAACTGAAAGTGGTTTAGCACATAAATCCATTTAATCTAATTTGTAACATAAAACATCGGATTCCATTTCCATATTATCAGTGTGGCAGCAGGCATTTCGGTACAAGCCTTCTGGCTGAGCAATGGGCTAATCACCAGAGGAGGGGCCACTCCCTCAAGTAGCATAAATTTTACTTGAGATAAAACACACATTGTTGTACTGGGGAAAAGTCTGTGATCCAGGCAAAAAGGCATTGACCTTGGAGTTTGGGGACCCAGGCTCTGATTCTGGAACTAGCACTAATGAACTGTCACCTCCCCCACACTGTCCCTACATTTCTAAATCTGTGGATGAGAGAATAGAATAGGACATTTTCTAAGAGCTCTTCCATTTCTAAGTAAAAAGATTGGTAGAAAATTTAGGCATAGGGGAAACACACCTGCTAAATAGATCGCAAAACCATTTATTTCACTTTATCTCCGCTGCCAAGTTCCTGCTTGAAATTGTTGTCACCTCCCCGTAAGCCTCCTGCACTGGCCTCAACAGAAAGCTTCATGGCTTTTCTTGGCACACACAGCCCTGATCCAGAATGATCTTTCCAAAACACTGTCTGAAGTTGTCTTTTCCTGAATACCTATTCTGATTGAATTCATGAAACTTATAGCTCATTCATGTTAGAGAATAAGTATTGAACGTGGGTGAAAAGAAGAAAGAAGAGTAGTAGAGATTCCAAAGGCAGGTAGAAGAGTTGAGATTTATGTAATAAAACAAGCCTCCGTAGACTTTCTACCAAGGAAATGGCATGATAAAACCCATTTGAGAAAATTAATTCTACCGATGGATATAGGGCACACTAACAAGAAAGAAAACAGAGGAGAAGCCAGCCAGAGTGCTGTGGCTGCCTTGCAGGAAGGGGCTGACAAGAGACCCGAATGGGCCTGTGGGCCTGTCAGAGGGAAGTGGAGCTGGGGGTCAGTCCGTAGAAACCATTGCAACAAAACAGGAAACGAAAAATACTAAGAATGGTTTCATCGGCCTTATGAGACAACAAGAATGGGAGCAAGAAGGAAATAAAGTATTTTGGGGTTACTACTTTCATACCTTAAATATCTGGAATTTCAAAGAAACTACAGTTGTAACAAGATCATTCTAATTTTATGGAGTTGTTATACATTTATGATACTTTTAAAACCTAAATGTATAACTAGAAATCTTTTCTAGCAACAACAAAAAAATTTCTGTTAAACTGGTAGCTCACTGGTGATGAGCATCTTTAAATGTCCATTTCTCTAATGCTTTATTATTCCAATAATGTCAGGTTACATATAACATTTTATTGTTATATTACTCATAGTCTTAGGTAAACATTTTGTGATACTGTCATTAACTCAAAGACCCAATTTTCAGTGTTTTGTCTATACTTTAACTCCCACAATATTATAGCAATTATAAAATTGTAGTTACACCAATGCAAATGATAACGTCATCTTAACTTTAAGAGCAATTTTAACATATAAAACATATTCTCTTAAGTCTTAACCTGTTCCTTGTAAGAACATTATCATTTTTTTTTCATTATTGCTATTCTAAGTCAGGACAGAGTTAAGAAACACATTACTTGAATTTCCTATGTGACCAGGAAATCCACACATTTTTCAGTAGGTGTTATTTTGGTTCAGTGAGTTTCATTTCAATTTCTTTTCTGCTGTGTCTGGTTTCACAGTATGATTAATGACCTAACTTGCTTTGGTCTCCCTGCAATTGTCTTGAGAATTTACAATACTGGATTTATTCACTTACAATAAATGCAAAGCAGAAATGCAATTTTCAATGTAAATGTTGCCCTTAAAACACACAGATATTTATCATTGACTGTTTCTTAATCAATTTCTTGGATTTTGGACACAGAAGTGTTCTGTATGGTAACCATTAACTTGTAAAAATAAAATATTGTATATGAAAACTATCAGATTAACAACATTGCAAATTAAACTCTTTTTAGCTAAAGAACATAATGATAGAATCCAATCCTCACGCTACATATGCCCTCTGAATTCTACCTCAGAAAGTCCACCTGTAAAACCAAGAATTATTTCCTGAGGGTGAAGAATATTAACTAGAATTTTAATAATAAAGTAATGTATAAAGTGAATGTCATAAATAAATTGACATCTTGTTATTCCAGATGATCAACCTGAGAAACCACTGGACTTTTTCCCCTCTCAATTCTCTTACCAACCCACTGGAATTCACTTCTCTGAATTGTGTTACATAGGTTCCTCTCTAAAATCACTGTCATTCCAGAGTGAACAGGATTCAAAACTTATTATTCTAAACTACAGGTCTCCACAGCTCAGGCACTGTGTGGCTCAGTTGGCTCCTCTCTGCCTCCAGTTCTTGATTCCAAATACACAAGTATGTTTATCAGTTCCTCCTACCTGCCAAGGCCCTTCTCACCTCCAAGCCTGCATACCTGTTATTTACATTGGAACTCTCTTTTCTGTTTTGACTAACCCTACTTGTCTTCGAAGTCTCAGCTGAGGGATTACTTCTTCAGCAAGGACTTAGTTCCCCCTAGATTAGATTAGCTCTCCCTAATATATGTTTTCATAGTTCCCAGTCTTAGCATAACAACTATCAGACCCTCTTTAATGTCTGGTTTCCTCTTCAGAATGTGAACTTCATGACAGCTGGTAGACATTAGGTGACTTGCAGGACGTTATAAGGATTAAGTGAAATCAAGTATACAGTGCTTAGCCACACACAGAATAAAAGGCTTTAATATGTGGAACCTATTTTTATTATAGCAGTTTACATGCTTGGTGTCAAAATGTTAATATAATAGCAATGCTATGAAGCCACCTGAGTCAAACAAAAGCTACCTCAAAGTACCCCAACTTAGGAAGACTAGAGTGGTCATATCTCCAGAAAATCATCAAAGCCAAGCTCAGTTGTCTTGGCACTCACTGATCCTATGTTTGCAGTCACAGTTGTCCTTTAAGACCACTTCTCAAACCTTACTGTAAATTTCTACCCTTCAATTAGAAAATAGTAAGAAACATAATCAAAATAAGTTAATGAACAAGATAATTCAGAAATTTTTTTTGTTTCAAAAGATAAAACAAATGAGTAAATATGTCAATGTAGATGGGAAAGATAATTTTTACCATTGGAAGAATGAGATACTATTCAGCAATAAAGTAGAACCAACCACTAACAAACATGACAATACAGATAAATCTTAAAAACATTATGCAACATGAAAGAAGATAGACACAGAGTACATAATACGTTATTCCATTTGTATGAATTTTAGATGAGACAAAACTAATCCATGATGACAGAAAGCAGACTGCTGGTTTTAAGGGGTAAAGAGAGAGGGATAGAATACAAACAGGCATAAGGGAACATTTTAGGGTGATGCAAATGTTCTATATCTTTATTGTGATATGAACAGGAGGCAGGGAAATACTTGGTAGAAAAGGGTGGGGTCCCTAGAGAGGGCTTCACCCTCAAGCCTGCAACCACCACCCTAAGTGAGAACATGCATTCCTGTTTTCCCACCCAAATGTTGCCTTTTCCAAAACCACCCTGGCCTGCCCTGTCCCCCATCCTATACCCATAAAAACCCCAGGTTCCACTGGCAGAAGGGCAGCAGAAGTGGCAGAGCAGCATGGCAGAGAAGGAGAGAAGAGAAGCATCTGAACGTCAAGAGGAGAAGCAGCTGGATATCAGAGACTACAGTTGGAGAGGAGTTCAGCTGGGGACAGTCAGAGAAGAGTTTTGGCCAGAGATGGCCAAACTTCAGAGGAAGACCACCTTCCCACTCCATTCCCTTTCCAGCTCCCCATCTAACTGAGAGCCACTTCTGCCACTCAATAAAATCTTCCACATTCACCACCCTCCAATTTGTTTGCACAACCTCATTCCTCCTGGATGCCAGACAAGGACCTGGGTGTGGGTGCAAGAGGCTGTCACACTGATCCCCCACTGAGCTGTTTAACACTTAAGCTGTCCACGGATGGCAAAGCTAAGGAAGCTCACTGTAACACACACCCTCTGGGACTCCAGGGATCACAGCAATCCCCAGATGCTGCCACAGAGCAGTGCAGAGTTCTACTCTTGCCAGCGCCCAGAAGCACTCATCCAGGCTTCTGAATCTCCTCACTTGCATGTGCCCCTGCCACAGGGGTTTGAGAGCTGCAAGCTGAGTAAGTGAGCCACCCCTTCAAGAGTCCCACGAAGGGGTTAAGGGAACTATCCTGTTTTAATTGGAGTGGAGTTTACATGGGGGTATGCATTGGTGAAAACTCGGAACTGTACATTTAAAGAGGTACATATGATAGTAAAATTATCACATGTAAATTATACACCAAAAAGCTGAAAATTATATTTAAGAAAGAGATTCTCTATGGTGCTGAAAGAATTAGAAAGATACAAGGTTTTTTAGGAGCATAGAGGTAGTACTAACTTGTATTTGTATCTTTTAAACATTAATTAATGTGAAAAGTTCCTTTTTAAAATGTATGTTTGTGTGTGTGTGTGTGTATGTGTGTGTGTGTGTGTGTGTGTGAGAGAGAGTGTATTTCAGTTTGCTGCTATTCCTGAACTTCAAAAACCTTGCATCTTGTTAGGAATTAAAAATGAATTATCTCAGTAGGAAGCAGATGCATTACCTTGATGATTTAGCATCTATTTGGCTGCTTAGGTGAAACTGTATTTTAAATTACTGACCAAGAGTTTCACTTGTTCTACTCTCATTGTTAGATGCATTTTTATGTGATATTTGTAATTAGTTTTATTATATTCACACTTGATACATTTAATAAATTAGCTATCTTTATTTTCTATGCATATGAGATGAATATAAATATGTATATTTGTACATGATTCATTTTTCTTTGAGATAAATACTTCAGTATTTACTTTTGGTCTTAGTCTGATAGGAGTGTCATAACAAAATACCACAGACTGTTATAAACAATAGAAATTTATTTTCTCAATTTTGGAAGCTAGAAGTCTGAGGTCAGGATACAAGCATGGTGAGGTTCTGGTGAAGGCTCTCTTCCTAACTTGCAGACTCTGCCTTCTCATTGTGTCTTCACAGGGCATTTTCTTGGTGGCATGCAAGTGGAGAGAGAGTGCCCACTCTTCTTCTTTTTCCTTATAAAGCCACCAACTTAGTCAGATTAGGACACCACCCTTAAAACTTCATTTAACATTAATTACTTCCTAAGAACCCCATCTCCAAATACAGCATCATTGGGATTTAGAGCTTCAGCATACGAATTTTGGAGAGGGGCACAATTCAGTCCATAGCTGCAGATGCCTGGTTTTGAGCATAAAAATTCACTTGTTTGTTTCTCCAACAGATATTTATTAAGTACATGCTGAATGGTGGGTTCTGGAGACCCAAAAGTTGAAGAAGACATAGTCCAAGCCCTCATCGTATGCATAGCCTTTGTGTGACAGTTAATTATAAAGGCAAAGGGAGAATAGCTTGTAAATTTGGAATGTGAGATAAACGAAACGGGCCTTTTGTTTCATTAGACCTTTTATTGAGTAAATGAGAATTAAAGAAAAATAGAAGTGAACGAGAAGTAACATTTCTCCAATTTTTTATTTACAGAAACAAGAACATATATTTTGATAACTTGGTATTTATGTTATAATTCAAAATATAGGACTGAACACCTGGACTTATACTGCATCCCTTCCTCTTTCTCTCCTCTCCCCACTGGTAACAGTGATTGACGGTGGCCTGAAATACGGAGTTGTCAGTAGGATATAAGATACACTATTTTAATTGGATACTAGATAGGTCTCAGTCCCAGTCACCCAAAGAGTTGCAAACCCTTCAGAGCATTTTTATATATATCTGGTTTGCTTAGGAAATCGAAAGCTATTTGAATCTCACTAACCTCTTCCCTTTTTAAAAAAATGTTAATTTTTTTAACACTAGAAAAGTTTATCTGTAGCAACAAAAGAGTACATTTGAAGCTGAGTTGAAATGTAGCTGCAGGAAAATTGTCCAACATAAGAGAAAAAAACCCTCTAAAATACTCCAAGCTTCCTAGTATTTCTGAGTGTTAAATTGTCAGATGTATTTTTTCATTGTTTTCATGGGGGCTATAATCATCATAATTTGAGTCAAAACAGGTATTTTCAAGGTCTTAACATTTCAACACAAATTTGTTAATATGACCAAGAATATTCCACCAAGAAGTCTACATCTGCTGGTATGCGGCTCCGTAAACTTGGGCCGGCCACTCGGCCTCTCCAAATTTAAATGCTTGTATGATTAAGATAAAGACCCAACATATTCAGAGGCATGAATAACTTAACAGCAAACAAAAATGTCTGAGTTTACATACATTACCTCTCTTAATCCCTAAAACAATGGTGAAGTAGTGTTTATTAAATACATTTTAATGTATGAAGAAACTGAGGGCAAGAAAGGTTAAGTGACTTTCCTGTGGTCTCAAAACTACTAAGAGAAGACGTAGAGTCACTATGAAAACAAAGGCCTGTCTGACTCCAAAGCCCTTGCTCTTTCCACTTTCTCCCCAGCCTCTCACCTCTTCTTTTAAATAGCAGCATTTTCACTTTTCACAGTAGTTTTACATGCATGGTCTTATTTGATCATCACAATTCTCCTGGAAAATAGGAAAGGGCAATCATATTTTCTCTGTAATACACCATGGAAACAACAACTTATAAACTTTCTCAAGATCACAACACTAGAATATGTCAATCAAGTGTTGAATCCAGTCTTCTGATCCCCATTTCAATATGCTTTTCATTACAACTCATTTTAAAAGATTAAATTGACTCCCAATTTATAACACCTGTATTTTCTCTTTCACGTCCATCATCTGTGTGTTCTTGACCCTTATGTGTTCCTTTAGAGATGGTTTTCTTTTCAGTTGGGGCACAGAAATTCTTTTTCTTCTGACACGGAGTGTCTCTCTGTCACCCAGGCTGGAGTGCAGTGGCACAATCTCGGCTCACTGCAACCTCCGCCTCCCAGGTCCAAGCGATTCTCATGTCTCAGCCTCGAGAGGAGCTGGGATTACAGGTGTGCGCCACCACACCTGGCTAATTTTTGTATTTTTAGTAGAGGCAGGGTTTCACTGTGTTGGCCAGGCTGGTCTCAAACTTCTGACCTCAAGTGATCTGCCCACCTCAGCCTCCCAAAGTGCTGGGATTACAGGTATGAGCCATTGTGCCGGGCCACAGAGATTCTTCTGTTTATGCATACAAACATCTTTGACAAGCACCTCTAAATCTGAGACATTTTAAAGTCAGCCAGAGGCAAGGTCATTGTCATAATCAAGGCAGAAAGAAATTTGTGTCAAATTTATTTTTACACTGTAATGTTTTGATTATTTGAATCCACTGTATTTTCCAGTGGGCTTTCATTTCACTTCTGGTTCTCAATATCCCCTCCTTTTGCAATTGCAGGGAGCAGATCTTTCAGTGCATCTAGATCTTTTATACTTGGGTGTTTTGGAAGAGAAAATCACAAACTAAAACAGGTACACTTGTTTTTGGTGTTAGCACTGCTTTTTCCCAGATATAAAGCACTACAGCTGTTTATGATTTATGAACCACTCTAAAACTCTTCTCTCCTGTTTTCATCAATAGTACTAGGGTTTGATAGCTTCATATCCTTCTAGGGACAGCTCCTATCTTTGAAAACATAGCAACTGATTTGGAGTTTCACTTAGGACTCTAGTCTTAAGAAATGAATATGCATTACCCAACGCCTCCTTATCTTAGCCAAGCCTTATGTGATGCTTTTAGCAAGGTACTTTTCTTAAAGCTAGGAGCTTCATCTCTTGCCCCTCTGTCAGCGAGATCCATGAAAAGGAGAGTGCTGAGTTTATTAACTGTCAGCACTTACTCCTTACGTACATAATTTTCACTCCCTCACAACTTAATTCTCACAATACATGGTAAGTATTTTCAGTCCTCATTTTTAGATGATGAAACTGAGGCTCAGGGACATAAAGTAATATGCTCAAGATCATACACCTATTATGTGGTAGGAACAAGATTCAAAGCTAGCCCTGTGATTCCAAAATCATTTTTTAAGTACTATGTTATATAGGTGCTATGCAGCTCTCTACTATAGTGTTCTATATTACGCTATACTATACTATACTATGCTATACTATACTATACTATACTATACTATACTATACTATACTATACTACTCTAGACAATACCACTCTATACCATTTCACTCTACAATATACTATGTGACACTACACTATATTATACTATGCTATACTACACTATACCATACTATATTATAGCACAATATACCACACTAAATGTTATATACTATACTGCAATATATTATTTATATAAACTATACTATATTACATTACACTGCATTACACTAACTATACTAGTCAGCAGATTTAAGTAAGCATCACTGTTTCTGGAACATACATACAAAGTCATTACAGAGAAGATACCTAACATTCGGGTTTGATTTACTGATCACGTGGTATAGCCCCCATGATACTTAGCATGCAGTGCTAGTCCAGTAGATTTCCAGATTCTGTTGTCTGGGAAATGTTTAATGGTTTTGCTCAGGCAATTCTACAGTGCATGGCTAATGGTAGATCCATTTTCAGTTTGGGCTCTAAGCAGAAGGAAAAATTTTTCCCTAAAGAGATTTCTAAACACCTCTGATTTTCATAGTTTTGGAAGAACATATTGTAACATGAAATATATGAATATACTGCATAAATAACGTTGTTACGATGCCAAAGGAAATTATTCTAAAATAAAGACCAATTTACCCGCAATTATTCTTCGACAAATCAAGCTTTTCTTTTTCTTTTTTCTTTCAGTTTGTGTCCAAATGCATATTTTTATATGTTAACATGATAGCAAGATATAATTTTATATCCAGCTTTCATTATACTAAGTTTTTTAAAAGAAATCATTTTAATGGGGGAAAGAAAGATACTTCCAGTGATCATGTCAAAGGAAACTGCATGGCAAAGATGAAAAAGTTGATGAGGCTTGCCTGGAATATGAATGCTTTCTGTACCTAGCAACAAACAAACACAAAGAAAAGAAAACCAACATCATCTAATGTATTATTTCCTTTTACTTAAGCCACAAAATTAGAACCATATCGATACTGAGAGTGAGTGAAGGCCAGCAAGTAAAGCCCAGCAAGCAATCCCTGCTTTTCCTGCCATAAGACCTTTGGCTTATCCAAAGTTAAATGCTAGCCATCTGTGTTAGATTCCCAGCCATCCAAACCCACTAATATTCATAAAATATCCCCAGAGCTGGTCAAGACAGTAGACCAAAATCAAAAGCTTCTGCCAAGTAAAAAAGATATATCTGTAGACAAGTGTGATGCTGGAAGGACATAAACTTCACTGTTCTTTGATAAACAAAAGTGAATGAGTCCATCAGCCTGCACCATGTACTTGGAGGAGTCTGGGATTTCGTTTTTGTGTAGGTTGTGCCTATACGACGTGTAGCCATCTGTCCCTTCCAAGCAAAATAGGAGCTACTTGGGTAAACATTAATATCTACAACACCAAAAAAAGTGTTTAAAAGTGAGATAACAAAATGTGTGTTAAAACTGGCTGGTGATAATGAAGGAATTCGAAGGGGAGTGAAAAATACCTAGTGTGGGAGCTGCCAGGGCAGCCTGCAACAAGCCATGGGAATTGGTATGAGGTCCAGTCAGAATTTTGACATCTTCACTAACAATCTTGAAAAGCAAGTGAATGGCTCATTAATAAAATGCACAGATGAAGTGCAATGATGGATTGGATGTAAAAAAGCAGAGACATTAGTGATGTTAGCAAAATGAGATGCATCTTCGGGAAATGCTCACTCATCTATTTAGACTGAAAATCACCATCTGAAACTCATTTAATGGAAGCAGTCAGTCCAGGGAGCACCACTACCAGTAGAGGCCTGGAGGGAACGCTGGGAAGAAAGTTAAATAGAGATGGGAGGCTGAGCCAGCACAATCAGAGCTTCTGTCCGGAAAAACATCATGACGTTTGGCCAGTGTTCATGAGCTTCCCACAGCTCTGGACATCCAGCCAGAGCTTCCAAAATCCACTCTGCTTCTGCCTGGTGGCCAGCCTGTCCTCCGACTTCTAGCTCTAGTTGGGAAGATGGACCCAGATGGGCTTCCCATCAATGCTCTGCACAAGGAGAAGTTGGTGATATTTAATACTTCACTGCTTTGAGACCAGTAACTCAGCCAAGGCTAAAAGTGTGAGTCCAGACCCAGGATTGAAGGCTAGGAGTATTCCTGAATAGCCCAAGGAAATGTGCCATATCTCTGGCTTTTAGCTGATTACAAGTTTTCTGGGGTAAAGTTGGATGTAACCAAGACTCGAATCATTTTTTTCTCCAGTATTTACAGGAAGTAGATCATGGATACTCTGCTGTTCACTACGGTGTATCACTTCCATCAGTTGATAGGCAACTCCTAATGATTCTAAACAAAATTTGCATTTAGATTCACACTTGCCTTACAACCTTAGGCTGACCTTGCTCCCTTAGCTCCCTTCTTAGTGGTCACTCCTGCCAGGATCCTACAATGATGGTTGCTCATTAGTTAAGAAACAGCCATTTTAGTTATGGACTGAGGAAGTTGGGAACAAAACTGCTGGTTCCTCATTACTTTGTATAAATGTTCTCCTCAAAATATCAGTGCACAAAACTCATTATATTTCTTAATTTTTCTAAATCAGGTTAAATCTGCATGCATTAAGAAGAAAGTTGATGTCTTAATTTACAAGAAGCTTGGAGGGCATATTCAATTCAGAAAAATTGAAAGAGGGCTCTTGGTTTGAGTGTATCATGATTGCCACCCAAAGGACCACTTCTATAAGCTCATGTCCTGCCTCAAAGGTGGGTGTCATTGCTGTTCACAGTCCTGCTGCTCATGGTACCCACTGCTTCTACAAACATGTGGGTTGACCACTGGTCCTGCCGAGGTTTTCAAGGTTGCAGTGCTGTGGATTCATGCACCTAGGTAGTAAGCATAGAACCTAACAGTTTTTCAACCCTTGCCTCCCCTCCACCCCCTTCTAGTAGCCCCCAGTGTCTATTGTTGCCATCTTTATGTCCATGAGTACCCAATATTTAGCTCCCACTTACAAGTGAGAACATGGGGTAGTTGGTTTTCTGTTCCTGCATTAATTTGCTTAGGATAATGGCCTCCAGCTGCATCTATGTTGCTGCAAAGGACATGATTTCATTCCTTTTTATGGCTGCTGAGTATACCATAGTGTATATGCACCACATTTTCTTTATCTAATCCACCATTGATGGGCACCTAGGTTAATTCCATGTCTCTACTATTATGAACAGTGCCATGATGAACATATAAGTACATGTGTCTTTTTCGTGGAACAAATTATTTTCTTTTGGATATATACCCAGTAATGTAAATGCTGGATTAAATGATAGAATAGTAGTTCTATTTTAATTTTTTTTTTTTTTTTTTTTGAGACAGAGTCTTACTCTATTACCCAGGCTGGAGTGCAGTGGCAAGACCTGGCTCACTCTATTACCCAGGATGGAGGTGCAGTGGCGACCTCCATCTCCCGAGCTGAAGCAGTCCTCCTTGCCTCAGCCTCCCGAGTAACTGAGATTATAGGTGCCTGCCACCACACCCAGCTAATTTTTATATTTTTTGTAGAGATGGGGTTTCATTATGTTGGTCAGGCTGGTCTCAAACTCTTGGCCTCAAGTGATCCGCCCCACTTGGCCTCCCAAAGTGCTCGGATTATAGGCATGAGCCACCATGCCCAGCCCTGTTTTAAATTCTTTAAGAAATCTCCAAACTGCTTTCCACAGTGGCTGAACTAGTTTACATTGCCACCAATGGTGTATAAGCATTCTGTTTTCTCCACAGCATTGCTAGCATCTGTTGTATTTTGACTTTTTCATAATAAGGCTCATGATTTTCAAACCCTGAAAAAAATAGGCCATTTGGGAGCAGGATCCAGTCTATTATTTAAAACCAAATTTCCACTAAAATAAATTACTTCCTCACTATTTTTAAATGTAAGTCAGATAGCTTATTTTAAGTTTATGGCTATTTAACACTTGGAAGAGGTAAGGATTACTGCATGAGCATAAATATAAAATACTACATGCCAAAGTTGAGTTTTCCAGAGAAGAAATGGCAACAGTAGGCAGAATCGACAGTTCTGTGTGTTTTAAATTAGAAGTATCTGATGGGCTGTGGATTTGGATGGGGCAACCTGAATGTGTGCTTCTTCAAGGTTAGGGTTAATTGATTACTGTTCCAAATCTGTCTTGGAGAACCAAGATCACACTGGTCACATTACTTTAGTCCAGATCTCTTTACCCCATAGTTCTCTTTAGGGCACAGAGTCTACCCCTTCCTTCCCTGTGACATAAAAAGACCAGCTTCAAGGTGCAGCCCTCTGAAAATGGAGGGTTGTGGACTACAGCCAACATGAATTTTAGACAGTCTGGCCCACCTCTGATGGACCAAGCTTGTTTCATAGCCCGTGATGGAGCCAGAAACATCGCTTGTCAAATGTCAACTGGATACCACCATGAAGCATGCAAGAGCAAATATCTGACATTTTCTAACCCCTGCAGCCTTTGCTTCTGTTGCTCCCAACATGAATCCTCCATCTGCTCCACTGGTTTTTTCCCTCTCAGCCATTACAGGGACTGATGCTGAGATTTCATTTAATGTCACCCTTAATTAACCTGAGAGGACAGGATAAAGTCTTTAGTCCCCTCCTGGGACTAAGAGAAAAGAAGAGACTTAGGGTGGGAAACTGAAAAGGCTCTTATGTTCCTGGCTCTTCTGCAGGTAAATCTCTCAGAAAATTGCTGTTTTATTGTTTCCAGGCATTGAGCTCACATTACACCAGCCCAAGCCAGGAAGGCTCTGTCGGCCCATCCATCAGCTTTTATAGGGTGAGGACCTCTGGGAACTCGGAAACCACTCAACAAATTGGAAATGTTAATGACATGGTCCAAGTAAACACCAGATCTTCATGGCTGGACATTTCCTTCCTGTACCTTTCCCCAGCTAAAAATGACATGGCACACTATTGTGAGGGGACCTTTTAAAAAGTGTGTGTGAGTACATGCATGCATAGGTGCATTTGCGTGCTTAAAAGGGAGGACTGACCCAAAGCCATGGGGGATTTCCAAAGGAAATTAACCTTTCTTAGAGAATCAGTCTTTCCTCTCTGGAAATTGGACTATATACAACCCCAAACTATTACAACTTCACTGCAGTAATGAGCTGTCAGATATTTCCCATTGTATAAATGAATCTTATTATTTGATCAGTTAATAGTTTGTGTCTGTTTGTTTGGTTTTGCTTTTGTTTTGAGACGGAGTCTCACTCTGTCGCCCAGGCTGGAGTGCAATGGCATGATCTCGGCTCACTGCAGCCTCTGACTCCCGGGTTCCAGGGATTTCCCCGCCTCAGCCTCCCAGGTAGCTGGGATTACAGGCATGCGTCACCATGCCTGGGTAATTTTTGTATTTTTAGTAGAGACGGGATTTCAACATGTTGGCCAGGCTGGTCCCGAACTCCTGATCTCAGGTGATCTGCCTGCCTCGGCCTCCCAAAGTGCTAGGATTACAAGCATGAGCCACCAAGCCTGGCCTCAGTTAATAGGTTTTAACCAACATCAGAATAATGTAAGTTGTCTAGAAAACAATGTTGACAATTCAGCTGAAAGATAAATAGGAGCCCTCTACAGTGTTAGACTAACATCTATAGTACTAGTCTAACATCTGTCTAAAGTTGGAATATGTTGAGCATTTTTACAAATATTTAATGAGTAATGGACTATTATTTTTCTGAATGACCTTAAATATTACAAGGTAGAGACCAAATTCACCTGCAATGCTCAGGTGTATGTTGCACTGCAGCAGTCCTAAATGCCCTGGCTCACCATGGAGAAATCAAACTGCTCCTTGACAAGTGATCCAATACCTTGCATTGTGTCAAACAATGTAACAGGAAAAAATGTAAAAAGACTGAAAGTGACTATGTTGTCACGGTTCTTCCAGGTTGTCACAGTCAAATCGCTTTTGCTGCTTTTATTCAATAAATACATACTTTATCCTAATTCTGTAATGATGTCCCTAAATATGTTTTGTTCCTCTCTATCCACAACAGACACAGTGAGCACATGGCAGAACAATATGAGAAGCAAGAATTTCATGCTGGCATTTGGAATTGACTCCAGCCATTGTAATTGTGACTAACCACTGGTTATTGGTTTTTAAAAATAAGTTGTCTAAATTAAACACTACTGTTTCAGACATTGTTAAGAAGGGTAAGTTGTATTTGATTTGATGTGTACATTCACACTCTTCTTGAGAAGTTTTGAGCAGATTGTCCCTAGACCAAAAAAAAATTGTATTTTATTTCCACTCAGAAAGAAAAACGTATTTTTGATATTTAAAATTATTATTATTAAAGTCAGATTCTAAGAAGTTTCTCAGAATACTTTATTTGTTGTGGAACATAAGTTCTACCAAATTATGGAACTCTAAATGCTTCTATAGAAATAGTATTCAAAGATATTTCTTTCCAGTTCCAATGATCTCTCAGTAATTTTTAAGGGCAGGGTGGCAGGGCAGAGAGGGACTATAGGAAAGTGAATATATTTGTTGTTTTAAAATGTTCTTCCCATTAAGTTACAAATTTTACTGAAGATACTGACAAAGAACTTCTTTCAAAGAAGAATTCAGGTAATTATAGATAATATCTTCATTTGTTCACTATTAGGTTAAACCTTATGATACTGCCATTTTCTTACATGAAAATTGGTCAAATATAGGAAATTTTTCATATGTTCAACCTAATATTTTATTCTTTCATTTATCATTATGTATTTCCTTGCTGCACCTCAGTATATGATGTAGATTTATAATAAAAGACAGACATAATAAATCCATTAGCACAAAGAGCAAAAGAACAAGGGCTGTTTAACAACAGAGGAGGGAAAATTGTTTTTGGAAAACCAGGCTAAGGATCACTATCACAATTGATCAGAAAATCTAATTTAGAATTTCCTGGAATCCATGACAAAACTGGAACAAATGTTACACTGCTTTTAGGTAATAATGAGATATATAGATACTTATAGAATAATGTCAAACTTTTTCTGGCTATTAAGAGAAATATATCAAATAAGCATTCATATGAGAGGGATTTCTAAAATTAATACCTAGTACTTATGGAATGTTGTATAGTTTATCACTTTTCTCTTATGAATGCTTCAATTTAAATTAATGTATCAGTTGGAAAAGAGGAACTTAGAATGTTGAAAAGAGGACTTCAGAGAGAATCTGGAAGTAGAGTACATGAGGAAATGGGTATTTTTCCTAAGGAAGGCTTTTCCCTCTGAGGACCTTCTGATTCACATACTCATCATGCTAATTAGGGCTGTAAGGTACGCTACTTACTGGAAAGTTATTTTACATTGCAAACTATTATATTGATTTTCAGATAAAAAATTAAACTAATGCGTATTAAGCCATTTAAGCTGTTTTTTGTTGTTATTCCCCAAGAACTGGACAAACTGACATCAACTTTCTGGATTTGTTTAGTTGGGAGAACAAACTTGAGAATATAGGAAGATAAAAGGAACCTTGGGAACTTTTGGGGTAGATTTCCTTCTCTAGATATCCTCCCACTCCATTACAATTTCAATATGGATTAAAGAGAATGCTTTCTGAAGTTAATGAAAGACTTCTATAAATCAACACATTTCTCAGTGTGCTTAGACAAATCATTATGCCTCTATGAATCTTTAGGTAGAAAAATAAAAAAACATTCGTAGTTCTTGTATTATAATCCCTTTAGTTTATGCACTCACCACTGGGCTATATGGTGTTTAAATAGGAAGTGTTGAAAGAATAACCAACCACTGAATGAAACGTGTGGGTGACTCATTAGATAGCTAACTTCCCTTTGGGTTAATAAGAGAAGTTCTAACATACATGATCTAACATGATGAAAGGTCTAACATGTCCAAAGTAGCAGAAGTCTTTAAGCACTAGAACCAATTCTTTCTCATCACTGTCAACAATATTTGCAAAGTATTCTTCCTAAGAGTAACTGATAGAAACCAATCCAAACCTGTTTCTCCCTGGCCAATCAAAATGTTCAAGGGAAAATCTGAAGATAGACACATTTATAAGCAACCATAAATGGTGAAATGCATTTGCAAATATATTTAACACAAACGTAAAACTGGTCAATATCCCCAGGGTAATAATCATTTGAATCTTCATCTAACAAAATTTATTTGTATCTTTATCAATGAGAATTGTTGTATTACTGTAAGTAATCTACAAATTAGAGAATTGTAAAATATCTAAAAGATAACAAAAAACATAAGCCCATATAGAATCAAATAACCCCAGTAGGAAGCCCTAGACAGTGCCCAGCATTCCACTGACAGGACATCCAGTAATTCTTTGCCTGTTTCAAAATCGTTCACCTTTCTTTCTCAGCATTTTAATTCTCAAATTAAAAGACTTCGAAAGCACACATCTGTGGAATATTTTTCAACAAAAACAGGTAACAAGAAACGTATTTCTACCTCCATAATGCCCTTTTCTCTTCTCGTCACCACTACTACATTAGGCTAAGTTTGCAGTGTTCTGTTATTTAAATTTTAAATTTAACACAATAACAACCAGGATTATCAGTTTTTAAAAGGATCATGTTTGAATTTTGCATCACCAGAAAGCAATTTATAATTATCCTATTGATAGCCTATGATCTTGAACCAATCTGTACCTCCTTCCAGTGGGTTTTCAACAAAGAAAACAGAAGTATTACAAGAACCAGTGAAGGACAAATGAGTCTTTTCCTACTAATTCTTCTATTACAATCCTTATTCTTTCTTTTTTTCCTGGTATCAAAAGGTATTTTGCAACATTGGCTAAGGCTCAACCCCAGTAATTCTAACAATATTGGTAGGTTTTTTTCTCCCATAGGGAATCTGGTACCTCACAGAGTTCTTCAAACTGTGTCTGCTTTAAGCATAAGACACAGGTACGTCTGTGTCCTAATTAGCTCAAATCTGATTATGAACAAAAGAGTCCCCAAGGATTTCAAAGATCATTTAATTTGACAAGTGCATTATAAAATATATATACCTCCTGATTAATTTGATTAGTGTAGCATCACAGAGGAAGAAATCATGTTTCTGAGTCAAAGGACCAAGGGTGACAGTAGTTGGCTGGGTGACAGGGAATATCTGAGGGCTGTAGGGAACACCTACCAAATGGGTTTGTTGATTTTCAGGGAGACGGATAAGTATAGCCATAGTTTACTATCAAAGAGTAGCATCTCTATCTGTAAGAAAATTGTAATGTTGGCTCTTAGAAGTTAATGACAATTCTTAAAGAAAGAAAAGTTCGTTTAAAGAAAGAAGGTTTAGCATTACATTTATTTTTGTTTGTTTAGGTCACAAAATTTCACCTTATTTAGGATCTTTGTTCTAAGAAATCTTTCAAAATTTTGGTGAAATACTACATATCTGTTAGGGAAGCTATTTCCTAGTTTAGTGTCTATTATTTAATAAATTCCTCTATTTCTCAGTTAAGGACATTCACCAAAAAAAGATAAAAAAAAGATAGAGTGCAGCAAATGTGTCTGCCTGTGGATCTAGTCCAGAATGTGACTTTACTTTTTACTCTCTTAGTAGCTGCTTTTGATGAGCACAAGTTCTTGATTTTAATGAATCCCAATTTACAATCATTTAAAATTACTGTTTCTGAGTATTTTAAAGCAATATATGCCTATCTAAGGTCATGAAAATAACATTTTACCTTTCAGATGTAAGTCTATGATCCATCTAAATTGATTTTTCTGTAAGGTGTGAGGTGGGGGTCAAGATTCCTTCCCACCCCTCAACATTCATATCTAATAGACCCAGCATAATTTACTTAAAGGTCCAATCCTTTCCCCATTGCCCATACTGCTGTGGCACCTTTGTAATTAAAGAAAAAAAAAAAAAGAAGAAGAAGAAAGAAAGATAAAACTGTTACAGGAGTAGGTCTGTTTCTGGACCCTTATTTGTTTTATTGTTCTCTTTGTCTATCCATGCACCAACACCACATTGCCTCAATTATTATTCAGGGATGACAAAAAACAGATAATATGGAAATAGAGCTAAGAAGAAGATACATTGCTGTCTTGAATCTCAGGGACTTACACGTTGGACAAACATCATAGATGAGGATGAGTAAGACATGGTAGAGTTTGTAACTTCCTGGTATTAGAGTAGGCAGATAGTCAGAAATAAACAGGCAAGGGAGCCCCTCGGAAAAGAAGTCCTGGAGATGCCACCCATTTACAGTCAGCAAAAAAACAATGGCTACACTGGCTACTTCTGGCCTTGTGACTGGGCTCCTCCCATCCAGAAGGGGACTTACCAGGCCCTGGTCAGTGATAACCGTGGTAGGGACTTTCCCTGCTGAGGAGCATGCACACTCCTCCAATAACCCACCCTAGAGTAGCCTTTTCCTCATCGTAATAGTAAAAAACACAGCCCTGCATGGATATTTTAAATGCTAATGAGACATGCGATGTGTGTATTAGCTGTATGACCACAGGGCATGCACACTCAAGGGGACTGCCTAAAACATGATTGTAAGTGACACCCCCTCACATCCCTTCATGAATAATCATGTAAGATTAGAGTTCCCCAGCACTAGCTGCTGCTGGCTCATTCTCTTTTGAGTAGCCCGCTGACTCATCTTTCAGAGTGTACTGTCTATTTAAATAAACTCTGCTATTGTTATTTTTCCAGCCAGACCAGCCTGGAGCTGTTTTCCAGCAGGGTCAACCCATTCCTCTCTTGGAGTATACTCTTATCTCGTTATAAACCTTTGCCTTACATTACTAATTGTCTCTTGGCTAAATCCTTTCTCCCAAGTTAGACAACAACCAAAGATTCCCTGCACCCTTCCTTTTAACACTGGTAACCATTGAAACTCTGCCATCAAACTTTGGTGGGTACAGGTGAAACAGAGATTATGACACACTGAGTCTTGCTCAGGATTAGGACGGATTTGGCCTGGTCAGCAGTTGATCCATGTGGAGTAGATATAAAACTCAAGATTGAAACTGAAGATTGTAGTGGGCTCTTGGGCAATAATTTCTAAAGAACTATTCATACCAGACAAATCTTTATCAAAATATATGATAAATGTATACTATAACTGTGAGAGTAATTTAATTTCTTGGGATTGATATTTGACTTTTTTTATATCACAAAGGAAAATGAAAGGCAACCTAGTCAAGAAAAATGTGACTAATTGGTTTAATTATGGTTCATCTACATGATGTAGTACTCTACAGCTGGTAGATATCTTGTTATAGCACAATATTTAATTGCATGGAAAACTTATTAAGTTTTAAAGAGCCTTTTATAGAATAGTAGATATAGTGTAATTCAAATTTACATTAAAGATGTATTTATATACATAGATAAAAGACTAGAATAAATATATCTATGTACTTACAGTGGTAATTTCTGGGTGATATGTCAGGGATATTTTTCTTTTCTTTTCACATTCTTCCGAATTTCTTCAAGAACTAGTAATATTTTAATAATAATAATAAAAATAATTCTTTTCTTACACTGTAGATTCTATATTCAGGCTTTTTGCTTTTGTGACACTGGGATAACATATTTACTAGTGATATCGGACATTCCTGAACTATACATATAATTATGCACAAGAAGCACAAAAAGCGGTAATTTAATAAAGTGTTACTAAAACAAATTTCAAATTTTATAAAAACTTGTTCTCATTTTTTTCTCCATTCTAGTTTCTTTCAAGAATTTGGTCCATCCTCGTTTGCTTAAGTGACTTAATCTGGATAAGCCTTAAAGAAGCACTTCTGTAGTAATTATGTTTTAAATTGATGTCAGTAGACAAAAGTTGTCTCAGACAGTTATAAAATAGTATTATAATAACAAATGCTTTAAATGTAAACATAGACTAAATAAAAAGGCTTTCGTCTAATTCTTTTGTGGTCTGTTTTTTAGGCACACTAAGTGTCCCTACTTTAAGAGAGGAGAAGACAGCTTGATGGGCTGGCACATTAGTAGATACCTTCTGTAGATACTTTCAGACATCAATATTTTTACACTGTTTTTCTGTAATACAGAAAAGTATTGAATCAGGGAATGATTAAGATTCAAAAAAAGTTTCATATTTCAATATTTATTGTTTCATCTCTGAGAGGATGTAAGGTATCTTAATATCATAAATTAAGTCAATCCCAAATGCATCACCTGGACCAGATGGAACATAGAGGCCAATGAACCTAGAGGAAAGCTTAATCAAGCACCAAGTGCTCAGAAACCTTGAATCAAGCTGAGTTTCTTTTATGTCTGTCCCTTTTAGCCATCTCTGTGGAGTCCAAGCTCTCTGCCTTGAAGCATTCTTCTCCACTTCTCTCCACTGGCAGGCAAAGCCATGTTGGTTTCCTCTGAAAAAGTAGACAACTCAGGTAAGAAAGGGGTGAAAGGGATGGCTTTGGGGGTGATTTAAGGAAGAAGAAAAGGCCTGCACCCTAGAAAAATATGATGAGGGCCACTCTTTGTGGTTAAGACATTGTCTCCACAAAACTTCTGTAAAAATGTAAGCATGTTTCTTGGAAAGATTAACACACTGACCTGTAACATCTACTAAAATAACAATGTCAGTATTTTAGTTAGCATTTTACACACACATACACACACACACACACACACACACACACACACACCAACTTTGAGCATGACTGGTCATCCAGCCCATTCCATTGTGCACTGCATGGCAGATTATTCCCCTAGTACAAGTCTATTAATCTGATGTGCAGAGAAGAGGAGTTACTGCAGTGTGGGTTTCCTGCAAGGAGACAGTGTCCTGTGTGTGGAGACAGACCCAACATCCAAGGAAGAGGTAACGCTGTCACAGGGTAAAATAACTTCTATGAAAAGAGGAAAAGATGAAAACAAGAAATTCATGCTCCAAATTTTCAGTTTCATTCTTCAGTCACTAATTTTCAGGTCACCAAAAATGCACCGCACCTGGATGAAAATGAAGCTTGTCTTGGACCACCTTTGTTCCAGACGAATGTGTCACTCCACTCATTTAGTATTCCACGACTCAAATATTTTGCCTCTGATTTTTTTGTATGGAATAAATTTGAGTAGTAAAATGCCAAACGAATGGTGAATTCCACATTAAAGATTTTTCTGATTGGATATGTAAAATGTCCCAGGTAACAAATACTATAGCATACAGCAATGGTAATTTACAAGGGGCCTGAAAGAGTTCACAGATTTTCAAACCTCAAAACAAATCAGGTGATTTCCGCACTTTGGGATATCTAATTAGGAGCCAAAGCCAAAAGAAGCCTTACACACTTCTCTGCCTATTGTTAGCAGGAGTATTCAAACTTGTGCAAAAAACAGAAACTAATCATCAGACCCAGTGACCCACTTGGATGAGAAGAAAGAGTAATTTGCTTGGCATCTCCCGGACTGTCTCAATAATTTAAATTAAAAAAAAATTAACTAGTAAGAAATTTTTCAGGAACCAACTTAGCCCCCAGACCCAAACCAAAACTTGAACCTGGGACTTTTTGTAAGTGCTGACCAAGAAATGAGCTGTGAAGTTAAGTAGCCGGTGTCGCCTCTGAACACACCCGGGCAGGGCGAGCAGGATGTCCTTGTCCAGGGAGACCCCTTCTCCTGGCTTTGGGGAAGGTGCTCCCTATCCCCGCAGGAGGCTGGGTCTGCAGGACGCAGCACTGGGCGGGTGAGAGAAAGCCTGGGCAGAAGAGCACGGAGCCGGCGACTGGACGCGAGCAAGGGGCGAATGGAGAGCGTCTCCCCTGCGCCAATGCTGTTGTTCCGGGTGCTGAAAAGCCGGGAACTTCCCGGAAAGCAGCGGCACTTTTCTCCCTGGAAGGTGGGTGTGGGGGTTCCAGGCTTCGCACCTGCTAAACCTGCCTCGTCACCTGGGAGGGGTCCGCCAGATGTGCCCCTCCTCAGCCCCATTTTGGGGAGAACGATGGGGGCGGGGGCGTGGGGGTGAGCACAGCCGGGCACCCCCGCACACCCGCAGGCGGGACCCCGGGGTGCCCTTGCCCTCCTCTCCTGGGCAGCCGCACGCCGGGATCCCCACTCCACCTGCGCGCGAACTTTCGCCATCTGGGACTCAAGCGCCCGCGGCTTGAGCGCTGCGGTAAACAGAAGGCACCCGCGTGGGTTCCCAAGGGTGTTTGTGTGTTGGGTCTGGGGGAGCATGATCGGGGCATTCGCAGTGGGGAGGAAGAGGTGCTGCTGGCCGGGGCGAGCTGCCTGTGCTAAGGCCGCTCCCTGCAGGGCGAGTTCGTGCACGACGACGTGTGGGCGACCGTGAACAACCCCAACGTGCGGCCCGGCGGGCGCCCCGCTCCGCTGAGGCATCTTCACCAACGACTTCTTGGGCCAGGGCATGGCCGAGAACACCAGCCACAAGTCCTAGCGGCCGCTCAGCGTCCCCACCTTCAAGTGCACTCCTGTCTAGGGCTTCCCTTTGAGCCAGGGCCGGGTGTAGTTGCGGGACTGGCTTGAAGGGAATTTCTATTTCTCATCACGCCTTGGCCTCTCTGCCTCCCTGCCTCTCCCACTCCAGCTGTTCACGCCACCAGGCTCCCAGGTCCTCTCCAGGCTAATCTGGGTTCCTGGGACCAGGCGGGAGGCGCGCGCTGGGGAGTTCCCTTCGAGTTTCCAGAGTTTCCCGAGGTGTCTGCGTTCTAGGCTGTTTGTTTTCTCTGGACAGACCTGGGAATGGGCGGCTGGAGCGGCCACCTCACTTCCCTTCCGCCAGCCCCTCTGGGTGAGCAAGAAAACCAGTCCTACACAGTTGGCCCCGGAGGTGTGGTGTGTGTGGAAGGGGCGGGGGAAATGCTGTTTTCAGGGCCGTAATTTCTCAGTCTTGTGGGAAGCTTTGCAGGTGGGGAGACTGTGTGAGCCCCCTTGAATGTAGCTAGGATCTGCCAACGCTGGGTGGATTAGTGGGGGAAGCAGAAAAGGTATCAAAAAAGGAAGGATCTGAGATTTCACTCTTCTTACAGCAAACGGTTACCTTGCCAACATTTTATAGATGCTGTCAGAAGACAGGAGAAGCCTGGGCCAGAGACAAAGTACTTGGTTACTTTATTACTCAGGACAGAACAGGCAGCATGGGCTTCAGATTCAGTTGGTTCTTCTTGCACCCCAAAGTCCTATAGGTGATACAGCAGTGGACACAGATGGATATTTCATCCACACTAGTCTATGTCACAGCAGGTGATCCTCAATCTTTTAAAGGGGTTCTTAGCAAGCAACCGCCCCCAACCCCCACTCCCACCAAACACAAACACACCAAACTGCCTTTCCCCAGAGGATACATTATTATCCTGGTCAGGAAACAAATCTGGCTTCTGCTCCAATGGGAGACATTATCTCGATCTTCAAAGACCGTTTGCTACACAAACATTCTTGAAAAGTCATCCAGGACAAAAGCTGTAAGAAAAGGTATGGAAATGACATGGAAAATTTCTCCCCAACCTCCACCCTTGGCTGCCCCAGGTGCCTCCAACCTGACAAAGCCACCAGCAATCAAAACCCTCCTGGCATTGTGGCTAAGTGGTTTTCCTTGTGTATCCTTGAGATGTTTCTTATGTGAATAGTTTAAAGTGTAAGGGGGAGCCAAAAAGTATTTTAGGATGGAGCGTTCAATTTAAATGATGCCGAGCCTCAGACCTTTGATTTTACAAGGAACATAAAGCACTGGTCTTTGAACATTATTTGCAAACCATGTTTTATCTTAGTTACACAGAGAAGAGAAGGAAGGCTACGAATGAAGGAAGGCTGATAACTTAAGCTTTACACTGGATTGTGAAAGTGTAGGGGAATAACAAAGGGTCATAGTCCTGGGCCATGAGAGTTTTGTACATATCGTGTAGATGAATCCATGGCTGAAGTCTGGAGACTTCTTATGAAGAAGTTTATTTTAATCAATAAATGTTTTTCTATCTTCTTTTGGAGCTACTTGTATATTTTTCCAACCTTTGAGGACCCTGCCATCCCAATTTTAAAACGGGGAATGCCTGATCATGTCAAAGTAATGGAATTGTGTGCCTACTGACAGCAGAGGTTTTCTAGCTATTTTTTCAACTTCATCTCCACCTTACTCACTTACTTACTCCAAACCAGCACTTGTTTTTCTTGGTGCACACGTTACCCACTGCCACCTTAGGACCTTTGACTTGCTATTCCTCTTTCTAGAAAGCACTTCTTTTTTTTTTTTTCTGAGATGGAGTCTCGGTCTGTCACCCAGGCTGGAGTGCAATGGCACCATCTCCGCTCACTGCAACCTCCGCCTCCAGGGTTCAAGTGATTCTCCTGCCTCAGCCTCCTGAGTAGCTGGGATTACAGGCATGTGCCACCATGCCCAGCTAATTTTTGTATTTTTAGTAGAGACGGGGTTTCACCATGTTGGTCAGGCTGGTCTTGAACTCCTGACCTCGTGATCCGCCCGCCTTGGCCTCCCAAAGTGCTGGGATTACAGGCGTGAGCCATCACGCCTGGCCCTGGAAAGCACTTCTTTAACATGAATATGGCTTGCTCAGGCTTTGCAGAAAGTCACTCCTCAGAGAATCCTTCCCTGTTATCCTAGCTCAAGCAGCAAGCACACCTCCCTGACCTCAACAAAACTCTCTTATTTTGCTTTTTCTTTAATAACACTCATCACTTTCGGGCATTAGATATTTATTTTTTTATTCTTCCCCAGACACAGCGCAAGCTCCTACCATCTAAAATACCTGCTACACAAAGTAGGTACTCAGGAAATGAATACATTAGGGGAATGGTAAGCAACTTTTCACATAATTTTTAAGATGACGCTTTTAATATGAGAATTACCTCTCTTTGTTCTCATTTCTTGATATCTTACCTTTTTCTCTCTTGCTACAAGAGAAAGCAGAGGCAGCCTGAGTTCCCTGCACTCACGCAGAGAGTGTGGGTGGGTCCTGATTACTGGCAGACTCTGATATTGAGAGCAGCTCTGCTTCTGAGGGTATAGGGAAAAGCAATGTTTTTCCTTTTGTACTCTTACCACTGTTACAGGTGACTTCTGACACCAGAGGTACAGGAAAAACAAACTGTTTTTCTCTATGCACTCTTACAACACTTCTGGTCACCAAAATGTGTAGAGGTTTCTCGCACACTAAACAATTCTCCACCTTTTGACAGACACTAACTGGGTGTCCTGCAATTCAATTCTGACAGTAACCCAAGTTTGCATGGACCCCCAGCATACAGGTTAATGGTACAGGGCCACGAGATTGCTCCCAACTTCAGATGCCAATCACAAGCAGTAGATTCCTGGATTACCCATGACTTCTGTCTGACATGGCTACAAATCAGACATTCTTGTGACTCCCTGCTCAAATTCAAAATTTACTAAGAGCTGCTCATAGAACTCAGGAAAGCACTTTACTAACTACTACTCACTTATTATAAAAGGAACTCAGGAACATCCAGATGGAATCGATTCATAGGGCAAGATACGGGGAAGGGGAAATGAGCTTCTATGCCTTCTCGGGTTGTGCCACCCTCCATGTAGTCAGCAAGCTGGAAACTCTCCAAACCCTGTTATTTAGGGTTTTTTTTCTTAATGAAGATTGTATTACATAGTCATGATTGATTAAATCATTGGCCGTTCCTGATTAATTCAACCCTTAGTCTCTCTCTCCTTCTCAGAGGTTGAGGTGTAGGGCTGAAGGTTCAAACCCTCTAATCACATGGTTGATTCCTCTGGCAACCAGCCCTATCTAGAGGCTATGCAGGAGCCCCCAACCATCACTCATGTCATTGATGCAAAAAGACACTTACACTTTTGGAGATTCCAAGGGTTTTAGGAACTGTGTGCAGGAGACTAGTGACGGACCAAATACATGTATTTCGTATTATCGCACAGTCTGCCCTCTGGTCTCTGGCCACACACTTCTTATGGCAAAACAAAATAGAGCTCAATAGATACGGGCACATTACTAGAGTCCCACTGAGTCATTAACAGATTTCTTATTATTTCACAGTCCACCCTCTGGTCTCTGGCCACACACTTCTTATGGCAAAACAAAATAGAACTCAATAGATACGGGCACATTCCTAGAGTCCCACTGAGTCATTAACAGTTACTCCAAGGCATCATCACATCACATTGCATAAGCATGTCTCCCAGGGCCAGGCCACTCAGGTTTGCAGGTTTCCATTCAATCTCCTCAGGGTCCAAAACCAGGATTGGTCTCAGCAAATGTGTATATTCACTCCTTCAGGAATCTGCTATAATTGAGCTGAGAGACAATGTTATCTCTTGCACTGAACCTCTTTCAAGGTATTAATGTAATATTATATTTCCTTTATTACATAACTCATTTATTTATTCCTTTATCCTAAGCGACAATTCCTCCTTGGCTTTATTTGTAATCAAGCTTTTTCACCTTTGTGAGGGATATTAGGCTTGGCGACTATGCTGGTCTAGATTACAAGGCATAATACCAGTCTAGCAAGAACCTCCCTCTCAGTTCACTCCCATTCATATAGGGTAGGGTTACAGAGATACAGAACTAATAGGATATTTTTTACCATCAGACAATACAGTTACATTCACAGCACCAATTTGCCAGATAAGGGGAGGGCGTAACCTGCCCTGTCAGGATTTTCGGGAATTCTAGTATAAAGGTTTTAAAGCATAGTTAGAGTTTCTTGATTGGAATCACCCTTGCTTCCAGCACTTGCAGTTGCAGCCTTGGTTCTGTATTGAATCACTGACCATTGAATCAGATAGGGAAAAACGATCAAGTCGGGGTGATGTGGGGAAGACAGAAAAAAGTATAGTCATCATTATCAGCATCTTCCCCATCCGCTCTTGATGATAATCGCATATTCATCCCAGCACCCTTCCCCATCCCCTCTTCCCCATCCCCTCTTGACGATAATCACATATTCATCCCAGCACCCTTCCCCATCCCCTCTTCCCCACACGCACCAGAAAAAGAAAGAATCTATCTAGCGGGGACACTCCTTTAGTCCCACTCATATTGAGTGTGACCCACACACTGTAAAGGCATGTACGCCAGCCCTTTGTGGCTTTATCTCCCCTTGCTTTAAACAACCAATGTTTCATTTGCCCGTTACACTTCTCTAGCACACTATTATTCTGAGGAGGGTGTCTCTGCCCATTGTTAGACATTACAGGCTGTAAAGTCTGTTCCTTGGTCTGAATAAATATGGTTTGTCAGTCCATACTGGTGTAACATCCTCTGTTTGGGTTCTTTAAAGCATTCTGAGCATTTGCACCTATCACGGGGTAAGCAAAGCTGACTCCAGAGTCAGTGTCTAATCCTTTCAAGATCCAGTTGTAGCTCCCCCAGGGCTATCAGCATCAGTTTCACTTGCCAGCTATGTTCAGAGCCTTCCCTCCATGGAAATCTGCCCCATAGCCACTTGCAATCTCTGTCAGTTTTGCTGGCAGACAGACCATTCTTTTTGGCATTCTGTGCTTCGGAAGATGCAAGAGGACCATGTCTAGTTTCTGCCATCTCTCTACTGCTGCAGTCTTCTCATGTCAACTCATTTCATGGACCCAGTTCCTCTTCCTCTTCTCCCATGCCTTCTTCTTAGAGTTTTCTTTAAAGCTAGGTGATAATGAGCTGCATTAAGCTCAGATCAGAGCCATGAACTCTGCTTTCACCTCCAAGTGCACCATCGTGTTTGCACTGGTTCCTGGAATTACATCCTTCGGTACTTCAGATACATTGTGATGATGATTAGCTCATTTGCTCCTGGTATTGGTGAAAATGTGCTAAAAGAGTAACTAAAATGATTAAGACTGAAGGGATTCACCTTAGAGGAAAAACAAGAAGAAGCAGATGTTGTTATTTATTGTCTAAATAATCTAGGAAGACTATAGAAACCACTTACAAGCATTTGAGAGCTGTGATTATGGCAAGAGAGGGGGAAGAAGAAAGACAACTGGCTAGAGAGGAAGGCAGGGGAATGTGCTGTGTATTGGGCTGTGGAAACTCACCAGGAAAGTGTTACAGAACCCAACAGTGGAGACACCAGAAACAGATGATAAGGGAGTATATTTAATTCTTTTTCTCCCTTGGATTTTATCTTAAACTGTTAAGTGAATGTATATTGACTTACCAGAGAGAGCTAGGTTTGGCTGGAAGATGTAGCAGTTGGCCCTCTGCACTCTGCCCTAAAATTTTCCAATCTCTGGGCTCCCTCCGGCTCTAGTAAATTACAATTTCTGGGGAGTAGGTCAGGAAATCTGCACTGGTAACAAGCACACTAGGCAATTCTTTGATACACAAAAGTTGGGAACCACCAGGTGTGGTAATAACTAACATTTATGTAGCATTTACTGTTTTATACATGTAATCATTTTAATCCTCATAACAACCCTAAGAATTAGGTGTTATTATTGCCACTGTTTTGCAAAAAAGAAAACTGCGACAAAGAGAGGTTAAGTGATTGCCCAACCGACACAACTAAGAAGCACCAGTGCCAGGATTTGTCCCTTACCTGACAGTCTGCTCCTAAATCCACATTCTTAAGGCCCACAGGAGGCTGCCTCTTTGGGAAAAGTTAACTTTGAAGTCCTGTTGGCCTCATGGGCTAGAACTACTAGGAGGAAGTGTTCCACTCCTCTTTTATCTAAAATGAAATGATCCCTTATTTTTGTTTTTAAACAGAGGTGAATGAACGATTTAAGGCCCTCTGTGTACATGTGTGAGCATGTAGTGATTTGAACACCTTAGATTTGTCCTAGATTTGTGCTAACTTGGCCATGGGGCTTATGTCTTTTTGTATTGAGAATAAAAGGCTGGGATATTTAAGTTTGAAAGGAGCTTCTGCATTTGAAATAGGGAGATGCTTTCATGAGGAATATTTATTGCTCTTCAAAAATTGAAACTGCCTACCTGAAAAAGGAGTTCAACCCAGGCTTAACAGACTGGATGCCAAGAAAGCATTTCATAGAAGTCTTTCCAAGTTGGTATTTATTTAATAGTAATTTTTTTTTTTTTTTTTTTTGAGATGGAGTCTTTCTCTGTCGCCCAGGCTGGAGTGCAGTAGTGCGATCTCAGCTCACTGCAACCTCCACCTCCCGGGTTCACACCATTCTCCTGCCTCAGCCTCCCAAGTAGCTGGGACTACAGGCACCTGCCACCACGCCTGGCTAATTTTTTGTATTTTCAGTACAGACGAGGTTTCACCGTGTCAGCCAGGATGGTCTCGATCTCCTGACCTCGTGATCCACCCGCCTCGGCCTCCCAAAGTGCTGGGATTACAGGCGTGAGCCACAGCACCCAGCCTTAATAGTGAATCTTATACCGTAAGTTTTCTGGGTTGGTTTTGGTTTGCTTTGTAGTCTGTTATCCAGGATTCTTCTTTCAGTCTTTGTGTCCATATTTTCCAACTCATATTATATACTATAGAAAACTAATATTCACAATGATGCACTGAGACACTTCTAAAATATCAAAAATAAAGACTTACCCATGGGGAGGTTGTATTCTAGTAGCAAGTGGATATAAAGAATAAACAAATATAAAAATAAGTTAAACAAGATAAATAAATGGTAATGATAAGCACTGTGTAGAGAATTAAAATAGGCTGATATGATGCAATGTCTATTAACATAAGGTGGTCAAGCAAGGCCTCTGTGCAGAGGAGGTGACATTTAAATGAGATCTGAGTGACAAGTGGGAAAGAACATTCCAGGCAAGAAAAGCACCCTGTGTAAGGGCCGTAATATGGTTTGGATTTGTGTCCATGCCCAATGTCTATTAACATAAGGTGGCCAAGCAAGGCCTCTGTGCAGAGGAGGTGACATTTAAATCAGATCTGAGTGACAAGTGGGAAAGAACATTCCAGGCAAGAAAAGCACCCTGTGTAAGGGCCGTAATATGGTTTGGATTTGTGTCCATGCCCAATGTCTATTAACGTAAGGTGGCCAAGCAAGGCCTCTGTGCAGAGGAGGTGACATTTAAATCAGATCTGAATGACAAGTGGGAAAGAACATTCCAGGCAAGAAAAGCACCCGGTGTAAGGGCCGTGATATGGTTTGGATTTGTGTCCATGCCCAAATCTCATGTTGAACTGGAGGAGGGGGCTGGTGGGAGGTGATTGGATCATGGGGGTGGATTTCACCCTGCTGTTCTTGTGATTGTGAGTTCTCACAAGATCTGATGGTTTAAAAGCGTGCGGCACTTCCCCCTTCACTCTCTCTCTCTCCTGACCTCCTGACGCCATGTGAAGAAGGTGCTTGCTTCCCCTTCACTTTCCAATGTGACTTTAAGTTTCTTGAGGCCTCACAGTCACGCTTCCTGGTAAGCCTGTGGAACTGTGAGTCAGTTAAACTTCTTTTCTTGATAAATTACCCAGACTCAGGTAGTTCTTTATAGTGGTGTGAGAATGGACATTAGACCACAGGCCACAAGGTGAGATCAAGTATGATAGGTTTGGAAACGGAAAGACCAGTGTGGCTGGAGTGCAAACAGGGAGAAAGAGAGTGCTGCAGATGAGGGGGAGAGGTGGGCTGCAGCCAGAAGCAGAGCTCTATACACCAGGGCAGGGCAGTTTGATTTGCAATGGGAAGCAGTTGGAGTGCTTTTAAGCAGAAGAATGGAGTCCTCTAAGTTTTAAATGCTCTCTTTCTGCAAAGTGGACAATGGATTGTAGGTGGCAAAGAAACAGGTGGCTCACGCCTGTAATCCCAGCACTTTGGGAGACCGAGGTGGGCAGATTACCTGAGGCCAGGAGTTCGAGACCAGCCTGGCCAGTATGATGAAACCCCGTCTCTACTAAAAATACAAAAATTAGCTGGGCATGGTGGTGGGCGCCTGTAATCCCAGCTACTCAGGGGGCTGAGACAGGAGAATTGCTTGAACTCAGGAGGCAGAGGTTGTAGTGAGCCGAGATCGCGCCATTGCACTCCAGCCTGGGCAACAAGAGCAAAACTCCGTTTCAAAAAGAAAAAAAAAATTACGGGAGGCCATGTTTTTGACTGAACTCCTGCACTAGGCACCAAGAGACCAGACCAAACCACAATGGAGTCACTCATACTAAGTGCCACATAATCAAACTGAAGCATTCAGAAAGCAGATAGATCCCCAAACAGACCAATTTTTCTGACAACAGGAGATTCCGGTCTACCTGCATCAGCATAATAAATAAGTTTCCTCTGCTTTAAACCTTCCAAAACAAAAAAAGAGAAAGAAATCTGAAGTAACCTGATGTTAATCAATCAGCTTTTTTTTTTCTATTGCTCTGTTTCCTTGTTCCCACCTTATAAAGCCCCCTGTCCTGCCACGCCCTGTGGGAGCTCCATTCTATTTTATAGAATGGAGGCTGCCCCATTCATGAATGGTGAATAAAAGTCAATTAGGTCGGGTGCCATGGTTCATGCCTATAATCTGAGTACTTTGAGAGGCCGAGGCAGGAGGATTACTTGAGCCCAGGTGTTCAAGACTAGCCTGTGCAACATGGTGAGACCCACCCACCTATACCAAAAAATAACTTAAAAATTAGCCAGGCATGGGTATTGTGTTGGTCTGGGGTCCCAGCTGCTCAGGAGGCTGAGAAGAGGGGATGGCTTGAACCTAGGAGGTCAAGGCTGCTGTGAGCCATGCTCACGCCACTGCCACTGCACTCCAGCCTGGGTGACAGAGTGAGTGAGACCCTGTCTCAAAAATTAAAAACAAATACCATTTAGATCTATAACTAAATTTGTTGTAATTTTGTCTTTGGCAGTCCTTTTTCATCTTAGGATATTACAATATGTTGCACAATGATTGTGATAGTATGTGAAAGTTGTTTTGTTTTACTGTCTTTATTAGGAAAAAAAATTAAAGGCAACTCATTGTCTTTACCCCAAGTTTTGTTTTTGAAATTGTGCTGATTTGGACTGGAGTCTATTGGCCTACTCTTCTAGACCATGGAGAGAATATACAATATCCTAGAAAACACGGAAAGAAAGAGTGTGCATAGCATGTTTCTTTCTTTTTTTTTTTTTTTTTTTTTTTTTTTTTTGAGACGGAGTCTCACTCTGTCACCCAGGCTGGAGTGCAGTGGTGCCATCTCGGCTCACTGCAAGCTAAGCCTCCCAGGTGCATGCCATTCTCCTGCCTCAGCCTCCCGAGTAGCTGGGACTACAGGCGCCCGCCACCACGCCTGGTTAATTTTTTAGTATTTTTAGTAGAGACGGGGTTTCGCTGTGTTAGCCAGGATGGTCTCGATCTCCTGACCTTGTGATCCGCCTGCCTCGGCCTCCCAAAGTGCTGGGATTACAGGCATGAGCCACCGCATAGCATGTTCCTTGAAATGAATGACTAAACAATGCAACACAGGACAACATAACAACACAATATAACCTCAGGATGCATTGAATCATTTGGCCCTCACTTGGGAATGCCCTTGGCTTCTTTCTTGGTGTCTTTTATTGAAGCTTCCCAGGAACACACCTGTTCTGCCTCTGATTTGAGCCTTCTTGATTCCCACCCTCAGCAGTGTTCTCTCCCACAACTTGGACAGAGATTCTCTAATCATCCACAAAGGCATTAAAGCTCCACTCAGTTTATATTTATGTCCTTTTCCCTGGAATGGAAAGAAGCCTCTGTGTTGATTGGGATCATTAGAAATTCCCCAGAGAGACATGGACTCATTATGTTCTTCCCGTGTGTTAATATGGATTTCCCAGAAGCCCCTGGAGAGCCGTGTGTATATACGCACAGTTCCTGTTCAAGAAGGGTAACTACCTGCAGTGTTTACAGTGCACAGGCCCTTTGGAAATGGTCTCCAAGTGACTTTAAATAAATTTAAGTGAGTTAGAGGCACTGTTCCTGACACATGCTATTTCTTTTGAGCAGGCTCCCTGGGGAAGGATGAGTTGATGCTGTGTTGAACTCTCCCTGCACAAAGAAGAAAGTTTTCTGAGGAGGAGGAGCCCTGGTGAAGAGTAGGGGAGAGGGTGAGGAGGGAGGGAGAGAGGAAGTCCTCCTTGGCCAATGAATGTGTGGTACTATGGGGCTTTTACAAACTGTCCTTTTTAAAACCTAAAATTTCAGGCCTGAAATTAAAATTTAAGTACATCAGGATGGTGCAGAACATTAACGTGGAGGGACATTCAGAGTATTTTTATCAGGGCTTCTTAACTCAGTGTAACCACAGAACCAATTCAGTCTGGTTCAGTGTTGTCCGTAACAATATGTAACAAAATGATGAGTTGTTTTTCAATTGCAACAGACCCCCGGGTTGCAAGTCAAGTAATCAGAGCATGCCCAGATGAACCAAGCATGTCAGATTTGAGACTGTGGAGCCAATCTGAAGGAAAAAAAGTCATCCATAAGCAGAACCTAAGTACTCAGATCAAGGGACCAGGCCCAGTTAAGTGAGAGGTACTCTGTTTTGTTGCAGTACGAAATTAAAAGCCAAGGACCCAACACCACGTCTTTGTATCACCCAATCAGATCACGCTTCATTGCATCTTCCTATCTTCCTCATAGCTACTCTCTGCCTAGAAAACCTGCCCCCAGCTCTGGGAGACAAACTTGAGCACTGCTCCCTGTCTCCTGGCCAATTAACTTGCAATAAAGCTTTCTTTCCCCCTTAAAAGCCAGTACCATATTATTTTTTTCTGTATGTGTTGAGCAGTGAGCCCAATACTTGGTAACTCTGGGGTGTGGGGTCTGGTGGTGGTGCTTCAGGGAACCGGAGGTGCAGCGTAGTCTTGAATTCCTTGAAAATACAGGCAAAATGTAGTTAATATAAGTACATATGCATTTTTCCGAGGAGCATATTCTTAGCTGTTATCACACAAAAGAGCCTATAAAAAAACATATTGCTGTTCTCTCATCCCCATAGGAGTGGCTGTTTTTATATTCCCTGGTATAGGTCTCTCTTCCAGGACAACAGTTTTTTTTCTCTACTTAAATGCAAGCTATTTTTCAAAGAGCACTAAAAGAGAAAGATGTGCCATATCCAAAGTGCCTGGCTTCTGAGCGTGTGAACAGGGCAGTCCATGTCTCCTTTCCCTTGCCTGGCTATGGCCTTCCCATGACTTTCTTGCTTTCCCAATTGTGTACCCCTGAGGCCTCTCCTGGGAAGGGTGCCCTCTCTCAGGGATGGTGATCTCTAGCCCCTGTGACCTCATTACTCCTCCCTTCTCCTGGTCTGTTTTCAAAGGAGCCAAAGGGAGTTTCACCTGGAGCAAAGGTTATTTGCATTCATATTTGCCACAGTCTGGAAGGTTCTCAGCTTAGAAGAGATCATTATTAGGATTATTTCAGAAAAAAATATTGTTTTCTTTTCCTATTACCTGCTTTATTTTTAATGAGAAATGAAGACTAAACCAAATAGAATTAGAGACTCATAGAGCTGACAATCATTTTCAACTTCCAACTCAATACAATAAGTATTGATTCATTCAGTGAACTTTCCTTTAAAGCCAACTCTGTGCTGAATGTGGAGGATACAATGATAAGCAAGACAGAGTAAGGAAAAATTGTTCGTGATCTATTAAAAGACAGTTAAGAAGTTTTAAAAATTGGTTAGGTGCTATAATGGAAATATGTTCAGCATATGAGACCTAAAATTTGTTTTTATTTTTAATTTTTTAAATTTGCATACATTTAAGGAGTACAAGTGCAGTTCTGTTATATCATGGATATGTTACTGGCACCCTGGGTTCTTGTAATCTCCCAGGATAGGAATCAAGAGAGATCACAAGACATAGCAGCAAAGAGGACATTTATTTAGCTTGTGCACAAGGAAGCCAGCACTGTGGAAGGAAAACATGGGGGAGGGGTGGGTATTTTCCTGGAGGATAGTATGGGCGTTACTTTTATAGGATTTTTCTATAGGGAAGGGTTTTGTCAGGGCACACATAGGAGGGGTTTCTCTAGCACTTGCGCAGTGGCTTGATGTGCTTCTTTAGACATTGAACATAACATTAGCATTTTAAATCTCTACCCCTGGGTGACATTTTTTGCAATAAAATGAGGAAGGGGTAACTATAAGTTGAAGTTTAACTGCTCATATGGGGTCGTGGGGAGCTCCTTAGCCCCATAAAGCAGGAACTTGTGGTTAATAGCTTCTTGGGTCTTTTGTAGCTGATTGGTTGGAAGTTAGGTAAGCTGTAGCTTGAGTAAGGGGCTTTTGTGCTTTTTCTCTAGACTACATCAAAACAAAAAGCCAGCCAGCCTGCTTGTCTCAGATATGTTGTGTGGTGGTGAATCTGGGCTTTTAGGGCAACCATTACATGAATAATGTACATGTACCCATTAAATAATTTCTCATCCCTCACCTCCCCACCACCCTTCTGAGTTTCCAAAGTCTGTTATTCCATACGCTATGTCCGTGTGTACAGATTATTTAGCTTCCACTTACAAGTGAGAACATGCAGCATTTGACTCTCTGTTTCTGAGTGTTTCACTTAAGATATGGCCTCCAGTTCCATTGGATGGTGTTCCGGATGGACTATTATCAAGCTTTTGCCTGAACATTTCTGACTATTCAGTTCTAAAATACCAGTTCTTTCTTTGACTGAGCTGAAATTGTCTCTTAGTTACTAATATTATATATTAAGTATATATGCCCAAAGGGTCAGGCAAGCTTACTAATTGAGTGAAGTGAGTTGGGTATAAGGTTATATCCATTTGATTCAGGGGCACTTTGCATATTAAACACGTGAAAATGCTTTCCTCTTTCAGAGGAGATTTGCTTTCTTCCATTTTTCTTCTTAAAGTGTGCATTTCAGCCTGTGTTTAATATCCCATGTTTAATAGCAATATAGACAAAAAAATCCATTCTTCTCTTTACCATAAGGTACACAATAATGCATATATAATGATAAATGACAGCTTCAGTTTGGGAACACAGTGAGGATTGTCAGGGACTATGGCAAATTGTGAACACCTGCCTCATCTAAATGGATGCCTAAATTATCCATGCAGGCTGGCCCAGTGTGGCTGATTCCTCTGATATTTCAAGAAAAGCCAACACAAAACTTTCATGTTTGCATATTAAACATGTAACAGCTAATCAAGTAAGTTCACAGACCAATCCTCGCCCACAGCAGTCTATTTACTACATTTGAATAGACAATGGTCTTTGTAACTCCAAAGAGGAAATTTCTTTGGATGTTACTCAGAACAAATGTACTCCTTCAGTATTTCATTCATTCATTCATTCTTTCATCCACCTATCCCTTCTAATATATATTGAGTGCATTTGAGCCAACCATTATGCACTGGGTATAAGCTAAAGATACGATAAAGATCCTGACTTTGAGGAATTTGCCTTCTTTCCATCTCTCATCTTGTCTATGCTGAATCTTTTACGACAAACTTGAGCCTTTGAGATTGGCTGTTTCCTCTTCTCATCACCTAATTTTAAATGAATGACTTGGTCAGGAAGGCTTAGTCTGAAGAAGTGTGAAACTGTGTAAATTTGGCCATCCTGTGGACATTGAGCCTAGATTCTCTTCTCCAAGGACAGAAGCCTTCATGCCCTTCTCTCCAGGGTCTGTCTGATTTTTGATGGATCCTCGGATCAGGAATGTGGAGATTTTAGTTGCTCCTCCCAATAGTCTAATCCAGTCGTCCCCAACCTTTCTGGCACCAGGGACCAGTTTCATGGAAGAAAATTTTCCCATATACCAGGGTGGCAGGGGATGGTTTCGGGATGATTCAAGTGCATTACGTTTATTGTGCACTTTATTTCTATTATTATTACATTGTAATATATAATGAAATAATTATACAACTCACCATAATGTAGAATCAGTGGGAGCCCTGAGCTTGTTTTCCCACAACTAGACAGTCCCAATTGGGTGGTGATGGGAGAGAGTGACAGAGCATCAGGCATTAGATTCTCATAAGGAGCACACAACCTAGATCCCTCGCATGTGCAGTTCACAATAGGATGCAAGTTCCTATGAGAATCTAATGCTGCTGCTGATCTGACAGGAGGTGGAGCTCGGGCAGTAATGTGAGCAATGGGGAGTGGCTGTGAATACAGACGAAGCTTCGCTTGCTCACCCATTGCTTACGTCCTGCTGTGCAGCCTGGTTCCTAACAGGCCACGAACCGATATTGACCTGTGGCCTGGGGACTGGGGACCTTTGGTCTAGTCCACTGACCTCTCCCCATTTCCTCTGGGTGGGGCATATAGCAATTGGACTGTTTCACAAGGTCAAGTCTCACCTCAGAGCACTGGAGTCAGATCCACCCAACATTTCATTTTTCTGGTCTTTGGTGGGAAAAAGATTACTTCAATTTTTTTTTCCAGCAGGAATGTAAATGAAGTGAACAACATCTCTTTCCTGTTCCAATTTGATTTGTCATACTATAGTCTGAGATATTCAGAATTCCATAGGTTGTAAGTTGTGTATATATCAGGTATTTAGAATTAGCCTGTCATCACCAACTTAGAAATCTGCCATAATTATTTCTGAATATTCCAGTGGGAACAAAAAAAGGAATGATCAGCAAGGTCTGCTCTCTGTTCCTTAGATTGATCTGTCAGAATATAGCTAGAACTGTTTAAAATTCTGTGGTTTATAAATTCTGCATGTAATCAGGTATTGGGAATTCCATAACATCTATACCAAAATGGTGGCTAATAACCACATGTGATTTTTTGAGCACTTTAAATGTGGCTAGTCCACACTGAAATATGTAGTAAGTGTAATTTATAAATAAAAATTTTAAAAACAAAAGCAAAAGAATATAAAATATCTCTGATGATTTTTGAATATTGATTACCAGTTGAGAAGATAATATTTTGGATATATTGGCATAATTAAAATATATTATTAAAAATAGTTTCACCTTTTTTTTTAAACATGGCTACAAAAATATCTAAAATTACATATGTGGCATGCATTATCTTTCTGTTGTATAGTGCTGGTCTAGACCTTAATTTTCTCAACTGACTTACCAAAGAGGAAGCGTTTGCATAACAAAAGCAAGTTAAGGCAAAGGATAAAGACTGGACAAGTGTTTTGGTAAAATACTTTAGTTGTGTAGACATCTGCAGGCAATATCTGTTAGGATGTATGCCCCCACAACCATGCTCTCTACTCTATTTTTCCCTATAACAATATTAACTCAATTGGGATTGTTATAACTTCTTAGTCATTTTAAGATAAAGTTTAGAAGGCTGTTTTTTTCTGCATTTCTATCTCAGGAAATATTTAAAGAGATTGAACAGTATGTTTCTTTTCTTTCTTTTTGGGGGGATTTTTTTTAGTTTAACCATGATAGTCCTATAACACAGAGTATTGGTTGAATGGGAATTTCTGTAAGAGGGCTTTTAGTAAACATTCTAAAAATTATGCTTTTCCTCATTCTATTTATTTCAGCAGCAGCTGTGAATAAGCTCTCTGATGCCCTGAAGAGTCCCTTGTGAGGTGGTAACCAATGGTGCTTCCAGATGCCCAGTTTGGGAGGTTGGTTCGTGGTGGCACCATGGTGGAGAAAAAACATTCATTCCTGGTTTTTCCCAACTGTGGATATGATCATAAGGGAGATCATCTCTAGCGGCGGGGACTCTTGCCTCCAGCCCTCTGGGACTTGCCTCTGGATCACCATTTGTTCAGGAAAGAGCCCAGCAGCCAGAATGATGTATTTTGGGCTCGGATTGCCTTCTATGTGGAGTGAGGAGACAGATGGGCTTAGCACCTATCTTCTTGTCTTATCCATGACACCAAAATTTTTAAAAATATAATTTTACTATATTTATGGTTATTTAATCATAATTCTGGAAGAAAGAAAAATGATGCAGACTCAAATTTATAGAATAACTGCATGTTGGGACACATTTTTAACTAAGTAATCAAATAGCTTGTCTTTATAAATGACAGATTTTTCTCTTCTTTTCCTCATGCTATTTTAATGGTATCTGTAATCTCTTTGCAACTAATGCGGACACATTACTTTGGTTTTTTTCCTCCTGGCGGACCATATTTTTGACAGGCATGAACTCGTTCTGCTTCCATGCAGTAAATATAATTGTATACTGACAAGTGACTCTTAAGCTGACGTACACCTGTGACAAAGCTGTCTTTGGGAATCACAGACTTGCTTTTGTTATGAGCTACTTTTTGCTGTGCATCCTGTTCATGCTGAGGACCTAGATGAAGTAATGGACTGAAAATTAAGTACAGTCATGTACTGTAAACTGCATATACAGGGGTAGATTTGTAAGATTATATTGGAGATGAAAAATTTCTAATGCCTAGTATGTCATAGTTGTTTTAACGTTATCAAGGCGCAATGCATTATGCATGGGTTTGTGGTGATGCTGGTGTAAACAAACCTACTACACTGCCAGTCTTGCAAAATAGAGCACATGTAATAATATATGGTACACGAGACTTGATAATGATAATAAATGACTATGTTAGTGTTTACGTACTTACTATACTTTTTATTGTTATTTTACAGTGTACTCCTTCTAGTTATTAAAAAAAGTAAAGCTAAGTATAAAACAGCTGCAGGTAGGTCTTTCAGGAGATGTTCTAGAAGAAAGCATTGTTACAGGAGGAGACAGCTCCATACATGTTATTGCCCCTGAAGACCTTCCAGCGGGAAAAGATGTGAAGGTGAAAGACATGGATATTAATGATCCTCACCCCACGTAGGCCTAGGCTAATGTGTGGGTTTGTGTCTTGGTTTTTAACAAAAATGTTTGGAATGTAAAAAATTAAAAATTATTTTCAAAATAAAAAATCATTATAGAATGATTATAAAGAACGAAAATGTTTTTGTACAGTTGTACAGTGTGTTTATGTTTTAAGTAGTTATTACAAAAAAGTAAAAGGTTTGTTAAAAATTTTAAAGTCTATGAAATAAGTAAATTACAATAGATAACGTTAATTTAAAGTCTACAGTAGTGCATAGTAATGTCTTAGGCCTTCACATTCACTCACCACCCACTCACTGACTCACCCAGAGCAACTTCTCGTACTGCAAGCTCCATTCATATACTTACCATTGTGTTACAATTGCCTATGGTATTCAGTATAGTAACACACTGTGCAGGTGCCTACGAGCAATAGGCTATTCCCTGTAGGCTAGGTGTATAATAGCCTATACAATCTAGGTGTGTGTAAGTATACTCTATGATGTTAGCACAACATAACTAAATCACCTAATGACACATTCCTCAGAACACATCCTTGTTATTAAGCGATGCATGACTGTATAAGCTAAATTTTCTTCTCTCTACTTGAATTCAAATAATAGCTGGTGAGCAGGACTTAAAAAGCCATTAACATATTGTCTTCATTTTTATAAAGTGTATACCAACTATCTGCATGACAATTTCCCTTTGTGCATAATCACAATGGACTTTATTGAGCATCCCAGTGAACAGTTTTTTTTAAATTATTAAATATCATTATCACTATAAATACAAATAAAGGCCCACAGTCTTTTATTGCAGTAAATTGATACCTAAGGTTTTTCAAGCAGCAAGCATCATGAGGTGTCTATTATCATGCTGACTCTTTATTCTTACTTTAAATGTATAGTTTACCGTTTCCACATCTTGCTTTTTGTGCATAGTATTTATGATACAGAACTATGAATGCTTTGAAAGGACTGTATGAAAGTTAGTGTAACATTCTTCAAGTTAGAATGACAGGCTATGTGAAAAACATATATATTTATATATTTACATATGGATATTTATAGATATTTATATATATATACACACATATATATGTATAAATTATATTCCAAGTTATTTCATAAGAGTCTAGTATCTCCATGGGAACAAAATTAAAGTTATTAATTTATAAGGCAGAGATATCCAGGCTTTGCAGTCTTCTTTTCATGATGCACAGAGTTGGAATTATCCGGTCCCCTGTGCCCCATCACAGTTAACCACAGGCAGTCTACCTGGAGTAGGCACCTGTTTCTCTCAGGCCAGACAAAGGCCTTCAAGGGACACATGGGCACAACATTTTCTCAAAAGCCCAGTTCCTAGAGGCTTAACTTCCACCTGTTTACTTTCCTAAAACAGATGTGCTTGAGAATGTGCTGTGGCCATGGAACCATGATGATTCTCCTCGCCTCTCTTTCCTGTTCACAGTGAACTTGTCTTTACAAGTCATGATTCTCACTGCTCCAGAATCTTACTAATGCCTTCCTTACACCTCTGGTGTAGAAACCTGAGGTAGTGCAAATGGACGATTGAAGTGCTGGGGTCAAGAAAAATCTCCTTTAATTAAGGCTCCATAAAGCCAAAGTCCACTTCCTAATTTCCCCCAGTCTCTTTCTCTAAAGAGTAAAGCATGGCATTAGAAATAGCATATTTAGATCTCTGTTGCAATGTTCTGAATTCAGAAGGGTTCCCATCAAAATAGGTGCCATCAGTTTATTTGATTTAAAAACATGAAATGATAGTTTCTGATAGAAAGTTAGTCTGATTTGCAGTTGGTTTGATAATGAAAACCAATTTTGCCAATTAAGCTAAATGGTAGACATCTTTCATAAATGGAATGAGTTAAATCTCCCCATTTTAATGAAAATATTTAAAACATATTGTATACAAATATATAATACATGTATTCTATTTTTAAAATTTGATATATTTAAAAATTTTTTTTTGCAAATGTGTATTAAAATTAACAGAGTGTTCACTTCATAACCCAGTTCTAACTTTATTGGATTAAGCAAGGTGTCTCTAGCTGAAAGAGTAACAAATATAAATAAAAACTCCTTTAATAAAGGGCCAGCCTTTTGGTGCATTTTTCAGAAAGTAGAGGAGTAAATAAATGACTCTAATGACAGAATTACAAATCACTTTGCATCAGGAGGGTTCCAGTTATTTGCTTTCACAAAGGAATTGAGTTTTCAGTTGCTACGACATTAAAGATAATTTTTGATGATAAATCACTATGTGAATTTTGGCATTCTGAAAGGAATTTATAGAACTGAATCATTCCTATGAGACAACTCTTCCAATTATCATATGAACTATCCATAAAGAAAAAGCTGGGAATACTATTGATGTTGCTCAATGCTTTGTTCTAGCAATAGGTAATATTCAGATACAAGAACAGTAGCCCCCAAAAATGCATTTTTACATTTAACATTTAATTGTCAAAATGTGTTATATATATGTGTGCATATAAATGTATGTATGTATATCTATATATACATATTTGTGTGGTTTGACCAAGTCTGAATTAATAATAAAGGTAATAATGCAAATTTAATTTTTGGCATGTAAAACCATATGATTACAATGCATTTAAAAATTTAAATTTGCCCTGACACGGTGGCTCAAGCCTGTAATCCCAACACTTTGGGAGGCTGAGGCAGGCGGATCACAAGGTCAGGAGATTGAGACCATCCTGGCTAACACAGTGAAACCCCATCTCTACTAAAAATACAAAAAATTAGCTGGGCATGGTGGCAGGTGCCTATAGTCCCAGCTACTCAGGAGGCTGAGGCAGGAGAATCACTTGAACCCGGGAGGTGGAGCTTGCAGTGAGCTGAGATCTGGCCACTGTACTCCAACCTGGGTGACAGAGCAAGACTCCATCTCAAAAAAAAAAAAAAATTTTAAATTTATACACATATTTGTGATGTTGAAGGATCAAGCAATTAACAAGAGATTTTGAAGCATAAATATATATTACAGAAAGTTAAAATGCTGTGGGTAAAATAGAACAGAAATATCTCTTTCAGGAAGAAAGGAAGGGGTGTTGTGGGAAGTCAGGGACCCCAAACGGAGGGACCAGCTGAAGCCATAGCAGAAGAACGTGGATTGTGAAGATTTCATGGCCATTTATTAGTTCCCCAAATTAATACTTTTATAATTTCTTATGCCTGCCTTTTCTGCAATCTCTAAACATAAATTGTGAAGATTTCATGGACAATTACCACTTCCCCAATCAATACCCTTGTGATTTCCTATGCCTGTCTTTACTTGAATCTCTTAATCCTGTCATCTCATAAACTGAGGAGGATGTATGTCGCCTCAGGACCCTGTGATGATTGCATTAACTGCACAAATTGTAGAGCATGTGTGTTTGAACAGTATGAAATCTGGGCACCTTGAAAAAAGAACAAGATAACAGCAATATTCAGGGAAGAAGAGAGATAACCTTAAACTCTGACCGCCAGTGAGCCGGGTGGAACAGAGCCATATTTCTCTTCTTTCAAAAGCAAATGGGAGAAATATTGCTGAATTCTTTTTCTCAGCAAGGAACATCACTGAGAAAGAGAATGTGCCCCGAGGGTGAGCCTCTAAAATGGCCCCCTTGGGTGTGGCTGTCTTCTATGGTCAAAACTGTAGGGATGAAATAAGCCCCAGTCTCCCATAGTGTTCCCAGGCTTATTAGGATGAGGAAATTCCCACCTAATAAATTTTGGTCAGACTGGTTGCTCTCAAACCCTGTCTACTGGTAAGATGTTATCCATGACAATGGTGCCCAAAACTTCATTAGCAATTTTAATTTCACCCCAGTCCTGTGGTCCTGTGATCTCGCCCTGTCTCCATTTGCCTTGTGATATTCTATTACCTTGTGAAGTACATGATCTCTGTGAACCACACCCTATTGGTACACTCCCTCCCCTTTTGAAAATCCCTAATAAAAACTTGCTGGTTTTGTGGCTTGTGGGGCATCACAGAACCTACCGACATGTGATGTCTCCCCCGGATGCCCAGCTTTAAAATTTCTCTCTTTTGTACTCTGTCCCTTTATTTCTCAAACCAGCCAACTCTTAGGGAAAATAGAAAAGAACCTACATGACTATCAGGGGCAGGTTCCCCGATAAAGGATGTAAAATATCTTAGCTTTTAAGGAAGAGTTTCTTCATGTTTTTTATAAATGAAAAATGATGGAGTTTCACATTGCTATGGCATTTAGACTCTACTGGGCACTTTTAAAGCAGTGATATTAAGGTTTTATTTTAAAATGTCAGTATATACAATGAACTGAAAATCTTTTTATTTAAAATTATGATGCAAATTTAAATATTAACCTAAAAGATGAGAGAGGACACAATTTTTAAAAATTCTTTTATGAGGCAAAAGGGTAAAATGCCTCTACTGTGAACTCTATAGAACTCTGACAATAGGTCACTGGCAGTGTGTTACATTGCTTTAAATGTCAGCATTATAGTTCTGGTAAGTGATTTTTCTGAGTCTAGTTGAAAATCTGTACTTAAAGTACCTTGGAGACAATGATCAGAAGAAGGAACAAATGAGAAAGGCAGGTAACCATCTTAATTCAATGCTTGCAGAGAGGGAGTACATGAAACTGCAGGTGACCTTGGGCACAGTGATCACAAGCTGTAAAGTTTAGGTTGAATTCTAAGGAAAAAGGAAAGTTCTATTAGTAAAATGACTTTTAAAAAAGTTTCAGCAGGCTTTGATACTAAATGCAAAAAAGCCATGGAAACAAGATTAAAGGGGCAAAGGAGTTTGAAAGCAGATATTCTTTGAGGAAAGGATGTTAAAAAAGGCCATTTGCATTCACAGGAAGCTAGGAGATGTATAGGAAGAAGTCGAGAAAATTATTTGGTAAAGCAAATTACCATAGAAAATGAAAAACGAAAAGATTAATTTTAAAAAGAAGACCCCAGTTCAGCTTTCTACAAAGTAAGAGAGAGAAAAAGAAATAGATGTGCTTTGTGCAAAACATAAAGATAAATTATATTTTAAAAAAATTAAGATTATGCAGTGACATGGTTTTGCTGCATACCCACAGAAATCTCATCTTGAATTGTAGCTCCCATAATTACCACATGTTGTGGGAGGGGACCTGGTGGGAGATAATTGAATCATGGGGGCAGTTTCCCCCATACTGTTCTTGTGGTAGTGAATAAGTCTCACGAGATCCGATGGTTTTGTAAGGGGTTTCTCCTTTCATTTGGCTCTCATTCCCTCTTGCCTGCCGCCATATAAGACAAGCCTTTTGTCTTCCACCATGATTGTGAGACCTCCCCAGCCACATGGAACTGTGAATCCATTAAACCCCTTTTACTTTATAAATTACCCAGTCCCTGGTATGCCTTTATCAGCAATGTGAGAACAGACTAATACATGCAGACAAAAGGGTAATGAGAATTAGCACACGTTCATTGAATTAGGAACAAAATATAGACCATAACTGATCAAAGAAAGCAAGGAAAACATTTTGAAACTACTTTATTTTTGGCATTAATTGACTTAGAGTATTTCATCTACCATATTGATTACACAATAAATATTTAATAAGCATCTACTGGGCCTAAGGCACTCTGTTGGTACACACAGACACAGCTTGGTCCCTGCCCATGAGTTGTTTAGATCTCATGGGAAGTAAAAGAACATAAAAATAAGTACAAGAACTAGTGGTGTGTTGAGATCCAAACAAGAACCTTAGCTAGGAGGAAAATTAATTTTAACTTGGTTAGGCAGAAAATAATTTGTGCATTTACTCATTCTTTCTACAAACATTCACGTGCATATTTTGTGACAGCATAGAATGCTTGGTGATGTTTCCAGGGAACTCCTGAAAGTGTTGATGGTATCTGAAGTTCCAGCTCCATTCACCTTCCTGGCATGGCAGCCTTCAGTTTGAAGCCAAAATACATGTTGCCTATTTGCATGCACGTTTCATTGACCATGAGTTGACCAAGTCCTTTTTGAATTTCTCAGTATCTCATAGTTTTGCATTTCATTATAACAGAAATAAGTCTGCCCGCCTTAGTGTGATGGTCAAGGCTTTTCATATTCTCGTCCCAATTTAACCTCCAGCTTCGTCTTGCCATCACCCTCCCCAGCCCTTCCATACTTTTATGTGTTCTCCACTCTTGTGATTTTATGCCTCCTCTGAAAACATTCCATATTGTTTTAGACACCTGTTCTTTCACTCTTGTTGGTTCCCCTGCCTCAAATACACTTTTTCTCTCTGGCTTTGAACACATTTTTCCTTCACTTTTGCTTCCTGAAATCCTCCTCATCTGTCCTCAAATCTTCATTCACAGGCTGGCTCTTCTGTGCAGCCTTCCCGGACCCTACAATCAAAATCATTCCCTTTCTCTGACTTCTCATGGCAATCATTCCTCCTTAGATTAAAAAGATCTCTAATTTGTTTTTCAGGAGCCTGGATCAGGGCTATGTTGAGGAATGTTTTTCTCCCAGGGTTTCTCTCTTCTTATTGCTGCTCAATTTGTTTCTGGGGACCTGTGTGATGCTGGTGAAACAGACAGGCATCACGGTGTTCGGAGTGTGCTTGGTTTATGGCCTCTTTTACCTTTTCCACAAGCAAGATAAGTCAAAGTCATAGTCATTTTTAAAGTTTCAATATCAAATAGCAGAAAGACTATTCAGAGAAATTTTCTTAAAACACTGGTCTTCAAACTGTCACTTAAAAAAGTAGTAATAGGACTTTTTCTGAGGTCATCTCATATGGCACTCCATCATAATAAATAACATTTACTTTATTAGTATAAATTTATTTTATAAACTAAAGCTTTTAACATTTACTTATTATAAAATCAACAAAAAATGTGGAACTGGAAAGCACCTGTTGGCTGCAAATTTATATCTACATCCAGTTTATTTCAGTTTTTTGTTTCAGTTGTACAGTTTTGAGAAAATTCTTGATCTGCACAGAAAAGTACTTGCCAAATAATAATAGTGTTTTTATAGCTTATGAATTTCTGAACATTTTTCAATTAAATAGATTCAAAGTTTGTAAAAGTATTAAATAAAAAATTTTAGGTTCAGAGTTGTGTACTTAAAAATAAACAACAACTGTAAACATAAGTAAACATAAATACTACAAGTATTTATAACAGAATACTATTGAAGTGCATCATGCCAATTATTTTGGTTATTGAAAAACTAAATAGGGTTCCTGCAATGCAAACACTCATGGAGTAGATGTGTCTAGTTTTTGCCTGTCATCCATTGGCATCCAGCACGTGTATGCTGTAGTAATACACTTGCCTGAACAATTTTATACATACTGACATGGATAGGCTTGAGCTATGAAAAAAAGAAAAACACAGCCAGACTTCCACCTCTCTCACCAATGACACATTCTCATTTACAGTTTACATGAGGACACTGAGAGTCTTTGAGGTTAAGTCACTTAAGTTAGACAGTGGCCGTGTATGAGTGAATGTCTGTCATTGGACTTTGAGTCCTAGGTTAATTTTGCCTCTCCATGGTTTCCTCATGTTAATCCTGCTGCTTGTTGATTGGTTGTTTTTCGTGACAGACTCAGTGACTGTTTGACCCTATTATGAGCTCCCCCTAAAACTGTTAGCTCTAAAGAAATAGTCATCAGAGTAAACAGACAACCCACAGATTGGTAGAAAATATTTTCAAATGAGATATCCAACAAAGGAGTAATATCCAGAATCTACAAGGAACTCAAACAAATCAGCAAGAAAAAAACAAATAATCCCATCAAAAACTGGGCAAATGACATGAACAGACATTTCTCAAAAGAAGATACACAAATGACCAACAAACATGAAAAAATGCACATTACTAATCATGAGGGAAATGCAAATTAAAACCACAATGAGATACCATCTTACTCCTGCAAGAATGGCCATAATTAAAAAGTCAAAAAAACAATAGATGTTGGCATGGACATGGTGAAAAAGGAACACTTATACACTCCTGGTGGGAATGGAAGGAAATTAATGCAAGCTCTGTGAAAAAAGAGATTTCTTAAAGAACTAAAAGTAGATCTACCATTTAATCCAGAAATCCCACTACTGGGTATCTACCCAAAGGAAAATAAGTAATTATATCAAAAAGATACCTGCACGTGTATAATTATTGCAGCACAATTCACAATTGCCAAGCTATAAAACCAACCTAAGTGCCCATCAACCTGTAAGTAGATAAAGAAAATATGGTATATATACACCATGGAATATACACTACTATGTATACACTAGTCAGTACATATACACTACTCAGCCATAAAAAAGAATGAAATAATGTCCTTTGCAGCAACTTGGATGGAGCTGTAGGCTATGATTCTAAGTGAAGTAACTCAGGAATGGAAAACCAAATACCATGCTCTCACTTACAAGTGGGAGCTAAGTTGTGGGTACACAAAGGGATACAGAGTGTTATAACGGACTATGGTAACTCAAAAGGGGGAGGCGGGAGGGAGAAAAAGAAAAAAAAACTGCATACTGAGTGCAGTGTACACTATTTGAGTGACGAGAGCATTAAAATCTCAGACTTCACCACTATAAAATTCACCCACATAATCAAAAACTACTTGTGCCCACAAAATTCTTGAAATTAAAAAATATATTTTAAAAAAACCTGTTAGCTCTAGAGTGTACAATCTCCTCCGTGTGGTTGCCAGTGAGCCTTGTCTGGGTCTACATATGTTGGTAAAAGCTGGGTCACACACAGACTAAGGAGAGAGAAGAAAGAGTGAAGCAGTGGAAAAGAGCATTTAGAGCTGGTCCCATTGACAGGAGCAGTGATCTGAGATCATGTGAGGTGGGTAACGATGATACCCCAAGACTACCCAGACTCAGACTGGTGATGCTGGCTCCCAACAGGTGGATATTGTCCCAAGGTCTGTTTTGGTGGTAATTAATCATAAGGATTAAGTGTAATCATATCTTTCAGAGACCCATCTTGTATCCTGTGTGATTTGGTTTTAGGCAAATGACCACAGAACGAAAATTCTTGTGTTCGTCACATGCCATAATCACATCCATAAATTTTATAGCTGAAGATATAGCAATGAAAAGATATCACACAACGCTTACCCTAGGCTCTTTTTCCCCACTCCTAGGCCTTTGGATTTTCCCATAATCTTACCTACATTTTCTTTTTTAAATTAAATTAAATTTTATCTTTTTATTTATTTTATAAAGTTATATTTTAGTTGACAAATAATAATTGTATATATTTCTGGAAAACAGTGTGGTGTTTTGATAGACGTATACATTTAGGAATGATCAAATCAGGTTAATTAGCATACCTATCACCTCAAATGCTTATCATTTTCTTGGGGTAAGAACATTAAAAATCCTCTCTTTTAGCTATTTTGAAATATACAATATACTATTATTAACAGTAGTCATCATGCTGTGCAATAGAACACCAGAACATATTTCTCCTATCTAACTGAAACTTTGGACCCTGATATGGTTTGGCTCTGTGTTCCCACCCAAGTCTCATCTTGTAGCTCCCGTAATTCCCATGTGTTATGAGAAGGACACAAGGGAGATGATTTAACCCTGGGGGTCAGTCTTTCCTGTGCTGTTTTCATGATAGTGAATGGGTGTTATGATATATGATGGTTTTAAAAATGGGAGTTTTCCTGCACAAACTATCTTTCCTTGTCTGCCGCCATGTGGGACATGCTTTTTGTCTTCCGCCATGATTGTGAGGCCTCTCCAGCCATATGGAACTGTAAGTCCAATAAGCCTCTTTCTTTTGTAAATTGCCCAGTCTGAGGTATGTCTTTATCAGCAGTGTGAAAATAAACTAATACAGACCCATTCATCAACACCTCCCCTTTCCCATCCACAACCCCCCTCCAGTAGCCTCTGGTAACCACCATTCTACTCTCTGCTTCTATGAGTTTGAAATTTTTAGATTCTGGATATAAATGAGATCATAGCTATTTCCCCAAAGAAAGCAACAGATACATGAAAAAAACTGCTCAAAATCTCTAAAAGAAATGCAAATTTAAACCACAATGAGATATCATCTCACATCTGTTAGGATGGCTATTATCAAAAAGATGAACGGTGGTGTTGGTGAGGATGTGCAGAAAAGGAAACACTTGTACACTGTAGATGATATCATAAATTAGTACAGCCATTTTAAAAAACAGCATGGAGTTTCCTTAAAAAACTAAAAATAAAATTGCTATATAATCCAGCAATGACCTATATTTTCTTTACAGCTTTCTCAAACCCTCCTAGTTCCTCCCAGTGTGGAGCCCCTTGGCAGGTGCTTCTGGTCTGACTGCGAAGCAATGAGGCACTTTGTTGTTAATGTTACAGACACCAGTCATTAAGCCTATCAGAATTAATGACACCAGTAATTAAGTCTATTAGAATTCCACAAACCACACAGGAAGATCAGTTGATGATGATCAGTCACATGTTATATTCAAAGAGCTACTTTAGTCACCTATTTTCATGAAATAAGTTGAGCATATGCATTTTTGCCTATAGATTATTAATGGTAAGAATAACTGAAGCATATTAGAAATTCAAGCACATACTGATATTTTTTCCTCTATTAAATCCATAAATAGCAGCCATTTGACATGCAGACTCTTAAGCTTTTAATGGCAGTAATTACAAGGCCCTATCTCTTTTGAACTTTACTTGTCTGTGATTGATTTATTCTCTGCCTTGTCAGATGAAAAAACTTTAACATAAAAAACATGAGGGATTTTTTGTATTTTAAAAAATTCCCTATGCCTTTTTTCTCCTTGATGTGAAGATGATGGGTAGACTATTGAGTGGTAACAAGCTGGGACAAGTCATGACATCCTGATCACCTTCCTGTCTGGGTGTGTGATCCTTGCAGATTGTCTAATAGCCTGGTGCTCAACTTGCTCTTTGTAAATCCCAGTGTGTGAAACAAAGACAAGGAGTTCACCATCAATTTGACCCAAGCTCAAGTCAGACACATGTTTTACCACAAAGAAACAATAGTGCCCTAAAACCCATGAGCCAGAGGACCTACTCTTGGCTTACATGACGATGAGGATGTCTCTCCTCTCCTTCTTCTCAACCAATTGGAATAACTGCTTTTCCCATTTTACTTTCTAGAAAACCATCTATAAATCCCTCTTGCTTCCCACTTTCTTCTTGCATCCTCTTTGCACGTGACTCCTAACTTATGGTGCTTTACCTTATTGACAACAGAAGGATGTGACAACTGACTGTGGACTCTTCCCTTTGGTTCAGTCCAAAAATATTTTTATGTCATCATTGTAGTCATGTCTCCTCTGGCCTCATGACTTTCCAACCCACAGATGCCTACATTCATTTCTTTCCACTTTATCCTGTCACTGTTGAGCCAGGCTTTTCTCAAAGAGGGTAATTGTCTCTTATTATCGGAATAATTCTACTTAACCTTCTTCATAATAAACCAGCAGAAGTTCTATAGGAGGACTGATGCTGCTGACATGTAGCATAGAAACCCCATAATTAATAGTTTCAAATTCTGTGCTTTTGAAAACATTTAGCTCTTACACCCAGAAAATCTCCATACATGAAAGCATTCATTCATTTATTTATTCAATATGTATCCTGTGTGTGGCATTCTACTGGGCCTTAGATATAAAGCCAAGAACGAGATAGATATGATTCCTGCCCTCAAAGTGCTTACAGTCTGATGAAGGAGGCAGATACCACACAGTGGTTAGAGTATAATTGGTTACAATTGTGATAATGCTACAAATGGCAAGTTCAGAATGCCATGAAAATATATAACAGGGAGACTTGCCTGATACAGGACAAACAGGTTTGTATGCCCACGGCACAATAACAGAATCATTACACTGAGACAGCAGGGATGCAGCAGAGAAAGTTTAATGACCACAGGGCGCTGAGTGAGGAGTTGGAAGGAGACCCTCAAATCCATCTTCCTGAGGAATTCTGGGCTAGGGTTTTTAAGAGGATCATGGAGGGCAAGGGACTGGAGAATTAGGATTGTTGATTGGTCAGGGCAAGGGGGGTGAACTCATCAGGATTTAGAAACTGCATTCTTTGATGAGTAGGCTTCTCATGGGGTCCCTCAGATCAGTTGAGTCAGTGGAGTCCTTTGGACCTGCTGATGTAGTAGTTTCATAGTATGCAGAACCTGAAGGAGTATCTCAAAGAAAAAACTTCTTAATGTTTCATAATGTTCAAGTTGTTCTCTACAGAGCAGTTAAGGGAAAGTGTAATCTTATAACATGGTCTACATGATTCTAGGACAACAGATAACAAACAACTATGAGGAAACAGGTCAGAGAGTGAGCTAACTTCATGATTAATGCTGAATGTGCTACAGGCTGGGTTTATGTTGGTTTCTCCCTCTCCCTGTTTCCTGATTAATTTTGATTAATTTTTTAAAGTTTATATGGGGAGTTTCAGGCCAATGACAATTAATGTTTCTTAAGCACTAACTGTGCACCTGCCAAGCCTCACAACAACCCTATGAGAAAGGGGCCATTACTATTTTCATTTTATACAAGAAGAAACTGAGGTCTAAAGAATAACCAGCCCAAAGTGAAACAGCTAATAAGGGATGAAGTTGGAATTTGGACCCAAGTTTGTATGACTCCAGAGACTATATCATTAACCTGTGTGCACCCCCACCTACAACAGAGGAACAAAGAACAAGTGCTAGGAGAACTCCTAGCACATCTGCTGCCAAGGCCTGGCTCCCCTTCGTACCATGAACCAGTTGTATTATGTGAAATTAAATAAAGGTGTTGGAACTTAAAGCTATTTTGAGCCTTGAGAGGAATGTGGCTATGTGGCCCAAGTCATGTAGCATGCAGCTGAAGCTTTGTTTTTTGACATAATAATGAGAACCGACTGAAAGATGTTGCCAGAGATAGGACCCCTCAAGATCATTATCCCTCCTGATAAAATGTTAAAGCAATCTTCCTTGGACTATAGCAAGTGCTAACCCATCAATTCACTGTAATGTATGTATTAACCTTATATGGCAAATGTTGTAACCCTGCTAAAGTTATCTGTCTCTGCCATATAAAATCTTAACTTCGGCTGGGCATGATGGCTCACATGTGTAATCGCAGCACTTTGGGAGGCCAAGGCGCATGGATCACTTGAGGTCAGGAGTTCAAGACCATCCTGGCCAGAATGGTGAAACCTCGTCTCTACTAATAATACAAAAATTAGCCAGGCATGGTGGCACATGTCTGTAATCCCAGCTACTTGGGAGACTGAAGGGGGAGGATTGCTTGAACCTGGGAGGCAGAGGTTGCAGTGAGCCAAGATTGCACCACTGCTCTCCAGCCTGGGCAGCAGAGTGAGACTCTGTCTCAAAAAAAAAAAAAAAGAAAAAGAAAAAAAAAAAACAGTTAACTTCTCCACTTTGGATCACTGACTCCATTCCTTAGGAGTCTGTGTTTTCCAGGTGGCTGTCCTCAAGCTTTGCCCTCAGATAAACTCTATACTTAATCATGTTTTCTAAATCTCATTATTTAGAGTTGACATTTGTTAGATCAAGGGTTCTTAATGTCTGAAGGATCATGGGCCCGGTGGCAGATACCCTGTGGCCGCAAACACTTAGATATTCCCCTAATAGAGAGGTGGGGTCTATGTTTCCATCCACTGAATTCAGACAGCCTCTGTGACTGCTTTGACCGACAGAACCTGACAGGAGTTTCATTGGATTAGTTTCTAGACCCATGCCTTAAGGAACTTGCAACTCCAGTCACTTAGAACACTCATTCTGAGGGAAGCCAACCACTGTGTAAGAAGTCCAACCACCCTGAGACTGCCATACTGCGAGGAAGCTCAAGCTAGCCACTTGGAGAGGCTATGTTGAGATAGATACCTGGCATCTTTAGCTGCTGTGGCCATCATAGTCCAGGTCCCAAGAATGGGTGGAAAAATCATCTTGGTCATTCCAACCTAACAGACTCAACAAGGAGAAAAGTTGAAGAAACAAGTCAACAGCCAAAATCAAGGCCCCAGGCATATGCAGCTATTTGAGCCACACAAGCTGAGATCCCAATCATCACTGGGCAGACACAAGTCATTCCCTCTGTGCCCTGCTTGAATTCCAGACTCAGTGTTGTGAGCCTAATTAAATGCTTGTTGTTTTATTCTACTAGATTTTGGATTACTTTGTTCCACAGCAGATCCTTTGAAAATTGGATGGGAGCAATGGATCCTCTTCTCAGAGCAATGCACACAGACACACATACACACATACACATACGTGTGTGCACACACACACAAGTTTATACCAAATCTTAGTGTTCACCACTCCCCTTAAATTAATCTGCTGATTCTAGACAAAGCATCTGGCCACCGAACAATTTTAGGCCTTTAGTTTTATAATTCAGGCCAAAGAAAAATAACAACAAAACAAATGCTAGATGCACGTCCACAAGTGAAGATAACTTTATTCCTATGTTAAATTCAGGCTGCAAGATTGGAATGGAATTTCCTTACCAGACTCCTCTCAAGAGAAAACATTTGTAATGGAAGCTTTTCTTTTTTTTACTTTAAAATTTTTTTATACATATAACCCATAACATAAAGTATAGAGAAACCATAATGAATGCCTGTTTCCACCACCCGGCTCTATCAAACCTTGACACTGTACCATATTCACCTCCTTAAAACAAATTATAGGCCAGGAGTGGTGGCTCACACCTGTAATCCCAGCACTTTGGGAGGCTGAGGTGGGCAGATCACCTAAGGTCAGGAGTTTGAGACCAGCCTGGCCAACATGGTGAAACCCCATCTCTACTTAAAAAAAAAAATTACAAAATAGCCAGACATGGTTATGCACACCTGTAATCCCAGCTACTCGAGTGACTGAGGCAGGAGAATCACTTGAATTCAGGAGATGGAGCTTGTAGTGAGCTGAGATTGCTCCACTGCACTCCAGCCTGGGCAACAGAGTGAGACTCCAACTCAAAAAAAAAAAAAAAAAAAAACACAAATTACAGGCACATTTGAATTCTTTTACCACTTTCTATTTCTCCTCCCTCCTTAGAAGTAACCATGATCCTGAATTTGGAGTTTATCATTCCTATCCTATGTATATTGTATACTTATTACTTTGAAAGTATAATACTATAAATAATAAATGATATTATTTGACTTATTTTCAAACTTTGAATAAATATTATCATTCCATTTATTATTGTGTAGCTTTCTTTCCTAGTCAACATTAGGTTTTTGAGATTTACCTATGTTGATATATGTAGCTAAAGTTCATTAAGCTTAAGTCCTGTGCAAGGTTTCATCTCCTGAATTTGTTCATCCATTCTCCTATGAGTCATTTTGGTTATTTCCACATTTTTGCTGTCACAAACTATGCTACATGAGTGTATAGTGTCTATGTGCATGGAGATGAGAATTTCTCTAAGGTGCATAGCTATAATTGGAGTTGCTGAGGTACCATGTGCAGAGAAACTGCTCTTCAGAATGGGTGTGGCAATTCATAGTCATACCAGCAATTAGGCCCCACTATTCTACATCCTCACCAAAATTCAATAGCATCAGATTGTTTAACTGTTGCTAGTCTGATGTGGATAAAGTTGATTCTCAGATGGGTTCAAGAAAGAAAATGTACTCATAGTTCAGTGTGTGGCTCGCCTGTAACCCGTAGTTACCAGGTCATAATAATTGAATACTAAATACTGATTTAACCAAAAATTGTAAGAGAACTCAAAGTATGGAAAGAGTAGCTGTGTGCATTTATGTGTGTGCATAGGGTAACAGTAGTTGTATGGTGATGGGGATAATACTCACTTAAAAAAGATTAAGTCTTATGCTTTTTAGTAGGAAGTTAATAATGTCTATAATTGAAAAATCAGGAAATTTTAATATAATCACATTATCTAGAAACACGGAGGCCAATATCTGAAGGAAAAAAAAGAGCTAAAATATAACAATGGTTGCTTCCTGGGATCAGGACCAGTGGTGGGGCAGGGTACGGCTATTCTTTTTTGGAATCCTTATGTTCTACTTAACTTTGTTTTCTCTCAATTCCATGTGTATTAGGAGCCAGTGAGGCCCTCCATCAGCATAGTCCATAGAAGCCTAGGAGCTCCTGGACCTCCTCACTGCCAGCCACCCTCACTGAGAAAATCAGAAGTAGCAGTTGCTGCACAAACACTTGAAACATCTTCCACTCCTTATTGCCATGGGGACCATGGTCACAGATTCCCGGGTCCCCATGAGTCGTGTGTGTGTGTGTGTGTGTGTGTGTGTGTGTGTGTGTCCTTGTCCCTGTGTGTTTTCAATGTCCAGCATCACCTAGTGCAGCCTGTGATGCCTGGAGAAGCGAGCTCAGCTTCTTATGACCTCCCTCTCTCTCCCTCTCTTCATCTCTCCTTCCTTTTTTTCTTCCTTCCCTCTATTTCTGCCTTATGTTAGAATAGACAAGAAAAGAGTAGCTAGGAACCAAGCTGAAACTCTGCTGGATGCCATCACTTGGAAGGAAGGTGATGAGCTGTGGGTCTGGGAAGCCTTAAGAAGAACAATCACGTTCCCCTTCCCTGGGGGAAGAGTCCTGTGCACAGAGAAGAGGCACCTTAGGTTTGCTGAGGAGGAGAGCGTTCTCCCCACCTTCTCCCTCCTTAATCTTTGCATTTGATATAAACACATAACAGGTACGGGAGGGAGCTCAGGGGACACTTTTATCTGAAATGTTTAGAAAGAGGCAAGAAAATGCTTTTAAAGCAAGAGATTTTCCAATGCCTTTATAATTTTGTTTTTGTCTTCTTTGACTCAGCTATGAAGCTTAACATAGATTTACCAACACAGGGGCTTTGTTCCTAATCACTTCCTCCTGCTCTTCATCTGCGTCTTTCTTTCATTCACTGACTCATTCATTCATCAGCAAATATCTATTGAACATCTACCATTTTCCAGCCACTGTTCCAGGCACCAGGGATCTCCTGGTGAATAAGAAAGACAAGGCCTTCACTCCTCGGTAGCTTCCCTTCCAATGAGGAAGACAGATGATGAACCATCAACAACTGAGTGAATGACGTGAGTGCTGTGAAGAGAGTGGGGGACAGCCTCCCTGTGCCAGGGATGTCTGAGCTGAGACCTGATTGATGGTGGGAGCCCTTGCTGCGAGGATCTGGCAGAGGGTTCCAGGTTTGAAGGTGATGAACAAGTGGAGAGAGACAGGGTGAGGGCAGAGAGCAGGCGGGATACAGATAATGAAGGGCAGTGTTGGCTGGGAAGCCAATATGGATCTTATTCTGAGTGCAATGGAAAGACACTGGAGTCTTCTGGTTTGTTAATTTGTTTTGTTTTATTGTGGTGTGGGAGTGATATGATCAGATTTGCTTTTTTAAAAGTTCAAGCTGGTGGCTGTGTGAAGAAAAGAGCCCTGTTAGGAGGCTGTACAGTGTTCTGTTGGAGGTGGATGGCTCTTGAGGCAAAGCAGTAACCACGGCAATGAAGGGACATGGGCAGTTTGGGGATATATTTTAGAGGTAGAGTCAACAGGACCTGCTGGTAGATGAGATGAAAGAGGAGAGAGGGAATCAAGAGTCTCTGGGTTTTTAGCTTGAACAAGCTCTTTGTTGAGAGAGAAAGATTAGAGAAGAATTGGCTTGGGATAGGGGGTTAGGGAAGGATAAAGACTCAGGAAGGTATGACATCCCAAGGGAGAGAGAAAAGAGATTTATGTGTTTCTGTGGAAGGGCAGTAAAGAGAAAAATGAGGAGTTAGGTGAGCCGTGGTGACTTTCGAAGGAAAGATATCAGTAGAAGGATGAGTCAGAAGTCACATTCTCAAGAAGATGGTGAACACCAGGAAGGAGGGGCAGAGTCAGTTTTCACTCACAGTGTGTCCCCAGTTCCAGTCACTGTGTGTGGCAAACAGCAGGTGCTCCTTAATCATTTGTGAAGTGAACAATGACAGAGCGGAAGGCAAAGAGGTATTGGAACTCAGTGAGGAACACTTTTAGTAAATTTGGGAGTGAAAGCATTAAGAGAAAAAGAATGCTAAATGGCAGACATGTCAGATTTTATTTTGTGTGTGTGTGTTAAATTTAATGGATATGAGAGACTTGAATATTTGTAGTCACAGAAGAGATAACTCTAGAGAGGAGAGCTGAAGAAGCTGGCCCAAGAAGGAATAATTGATGACAAAGGTTCTTAGACAGGAGGAAGGAGACTAACATCTGTTATCTATCTATTATGTACCAAGAAGTGGGCTAGGCTTTATAGTTGTTATCTCAACATCACAATAGCCCTTGAGGTGGAGACAAAACACAGGATACTCAATTAAATTTTAATTTTAGATAACAAAATATTTATTTTAACATTATGGCCTCATGTAGTAATTTTGGTGTAAGTATTCCCCATGCAGTATTTGGGACTTACTTATATTTTTAAAAATATTTAATGTTTATACAAAACTCAAATTTAATTGGATCCCCTATATTTTCATCTGGCAACTCCACTTTGGGGTAAATAATATAATTGCTGTTTTACCTGAAGGAAACTGAACATCTGAGATATTCAATAACATTGTCCTCATTCACGAAGTTAAAAGTGAGAACATCAAGATTGAAACCCAGTCTTTTTGACTTCTGAACCCCACTTTTCTCACTTGTGATGTCATGGGAGATTGCAGTCCAGAGTCTCTGGCAGGGACTAAGTTCAGTGAGAAGGCTCTTGTCCCAATTGTATGCGTGCCTGGTCTCCCTGTTAAACTCCCAGGGGTGAGGAACTTCTTGGGATCATTTTTGTGTCCATTAAAAGAGCCATTTACTACATGATTCTTGATGTACTTCGAGGTGGGACATTTTTGCTAACATATTAAGATGAATGACAAACTTTTGAAAGTCACTTTCTGTTTAAATCTCCAGCCACTGGGCTAATTTAATGAGGGAGGCTGGCCAGACAGCACACACCGCACTGCTGAAATCAACTAGATATTTACCAAATTAATGCTTGTGAATGAAGAGGACAGCTTTATTTCTTTTGAGAAGGAATCTATTTTTTTATATAAAAATGAACTCAATATTAAAATTATCTGTGTGAACTATGCTTGTCCCTTTGGCAGGACGTGGGTGAGGTAAGCTTACCCTAACTCCTAAGAGGCGGTATAGTCTATGATGCAAGAACTCTGACTCTGCAGCCAGAGGGGCAGAACCTTGAGTTTCCTGTTCTCAAAAATTGGGATGATGATGATAATAATAATAATATAATCCCTACAGAGTAGGTTGGAGGACTAAATGAGATTGCACATGTAATAAACCTTTAACAGGATGGTAGCTACCATCTTCATCAACATTAGTGGTGCATAGGGGTAAATAATGGTAATATGGTAATAATGGTAAATAATGGTGGATCCACATTTTACAAGTTGGGAAGAAGATTGCGTGAGGATTTTGTTACTGTTCAACTTTGAGAGCTGTTTGTAACAAGAACCTCATGTGACTTTTTATGGGGGCATTGATACCAGGCTGAAATAAATCTGGCTTAAATTCTGACCAGGTAAAATGTTCCTTACATATGTCACCAAACATAAGAAAAAAGTAGTTTCCTCTGAATACCATTTCTTTAGTTGCCCAGATTTATATGCCACTTAGTCATTTCTTTAAAGGAAAAAAGTCTACTACATGATGGAAACATTGGATTGAGGATATGCAGTTCTGTCCTGCAATCAGATAAAATTTAAGTTGATTTTGCCTTTCTCATGGCATTATTCCATGTTATATACTCTTACTCATCTAACCCAAAACATTGTTTATACCCGAAGCTTTTCTCTTTCATATTAGAAAGCTCAGTGAATTCTATATGAAATATTATCATATATATGGTCTCAACTGATTTCACTTTCATCAGATAGTGACCAAAATACGTACTAAGAAAAATTTTTGATCTAAGGAATTCATGGACATTTTCTCTCTTTTCTGTGGCAGCACCCCCTGCAGGGCCTCTCATGTTCAGACATTTATTCAATAAATATTTACTGAGCACTTTCTACATGCTGAGTACTACCTTAGGTGCTGGGGGACTCAGCAGACTACAAAATAAAGCCCTACGCTCATGGAACTTAGCTGGTGATCACGTTTTTGCTTACTTGTTCTACGTTTTGTGGATGAGACACAAGTTAGACTTTCACTCACTCCCTGGATCTTAGAAGTCTTTGTTCTAATTGCTTCTACACAGCCAAGTAAATCAAGAAGTTAAGGCAGGTTTGGGAGTAGAGAACAGTTTCATATTGCTCCCTGAATTAAAACCACAGAGTATTTAAAATTCAGGGAACTTAAGGAAGCATATCAATACTATGACCTTTGCTGCTAGAATGGATAGCTACTCTTTTTCAGGGTCGTTTTAATGTTTCATTTTCTCAGATCCTTGCACTGCACTGTAATCTTGCAAAGAATCACTGCAAAATCTTCCCAGGCTTATTTAAACTCCTAAGATGGACTTTTCTGGGTTTGTGTTGCACACACATAGAGCCATGAGTGGGCAACAGTTATGTCTATGTCAACAACAATGGATTGGGTTTGAGAGAAACTTGCTGAGCCTTTACACATCTTCCCTGTTGACTGGCCCTTAAGCCCTTCTGAGCCTCATTTAACTGCTGCCTTTGATGAAGTGATCAAATGAACTGAGTGTAGAAAAAATGGAACGATGAGTTACAAGAGGAGTTTGTGGGTTCATATTTGTTTAATAGACACCCACCCATCCATTCATCTCCACCATTTCAGTCATCTATTGCTAACCAACAAACCATCCCAGAACTTAGTGGTGTAAAGCAACAATCATTTTGTTATACTCATGGTTTCTGTGGGCAAAGAACTCAGAAAGGGCCCAAAGAAGAAAGTTCACTGGGGCACCACTGTGTGACTGAGCCTAGCTAGTGTGACTTGTACGGCCAGGACCAACCAGAGAAGCTGAGACTGTAGGATTCACTTCCAAGATGGCTTCTTCGCTCCCTCCCATGTTCAGCGGGCTAGGATGCTAAAGGACTGGCCCAGTTGGACTGCCAAGCAGAATGCCTATATGTGGCTCAAAGCTTCAAGAACAAATGCTCCCAGAGAACAAGGTGGATGCTGCAGCCTCAGAGGTCACACAGCCTCATCTCAGCTATACTGCACTGAAGCAGCCACAAGCTCACTGAGATTCCAGGTAAGGAGACAGAGACTCTGCCTCTCAAGGGAAGGTGCATCAAATAATTCACAGCTTTGTGAAAGCCTCCACAAACCATCATTTTAAATATCCTCATGTAAAGTAATCTCAAGAATGAATAGATGTCAAAGGACAGGTTGACCAATTATTTGCTACTTTTAACTCCATACTACACTTCATGAAAGTTGATGTAACTTAGTATTTTATTTTCAAGTTTACTTCCAACCTTTGTAAGAGCTCCTCTTCCTGTCTCCACACTTCCTTTAATTCTTTCTCATATGAATTTTCTTTGTCTAACGATGTGGTAGGCCACATATTTGTCATAGAATTCTTCCTCTTCTTGGGTGATAGAAATACTTTGGTCTTTTGTTGCACACCTCACTTTGGCTACAAGACCATTGCAACTTGATTCTTTGGAGCCAAGAAGGTGATGATGTCAGGAATTGAGGAATAGTAACTTTTAAGCAGCATTTAATATCAAACAGACTATGGTAATTATTGTAAAACCACTTATTATTAAAACAATGTTATGTCAGTTTACACCAATGATCCCATCATCTGAATACAATTCGGATTACTTTATGGCCATTTCTGATCTTTAATTCCATATGCATTTAAAGCTACATATCATTTATGTATGTTTAATATAGTAAATTGCATTTTTGTATGTATTTTTTAATATAGTAAAATGACAATGGCCTCTGCCAATGCTTAGTGTTCTTTGGTATTACTGGAATTCAGACATACTTAGTACATGTTAAGGTACTGAAAAATAAGGTGGCAATATTTTACTAGGAAGCATGGCCAAATGGCCTTATTTTGTGATAGGAGAGACAGAAATGATGGGACTCTTGTAAAACTTTTAAAAAACTGTTTTAGTCTGATGTTGCTAGTTTCTTTATGATCTGCATTCCTTGGGGGAGCTTCTTTAGAGAACAGGGTTTTGTCCTACAGACCTCTTCTGACTTTAATGTTAAAAAGTTAATTAATTTGTCCAAGATGGATCCTCAGTTTCCTTTTTTTGCGGATTCCTAGAAATACAAAGATTGCCAGAAATTTATTATTTACTGAATCTAAAAAGAAATACTGTTGGCTTTTTTGTTTTCAAATCATTATTAATATTTCCCAGCTATTAGGAATGTTGGGATCCCTTCTAAGCCAGACTCCAGCATATGTGGTAAATGAGAAATTATCTTGATGCATTTTCTAAACCTTTATTGAAAACTGCTTTGGTGTTGGAACTGAGCTCAACATTAAAATAGATTGTTATAATAAAATGCTTCTTGGCTTCTTTCAGAACTTTGCACTAAAAGCTTTTTCCAGATGAATCACATGCCGAGGAAGAAAATTCCTTTTAATTTATGAATGGCAGTGGGTGGAGTCCCTAGCTGCTGATGTCCTTGGAGTTTGTCTAGTGTGGATTGGAAACTGGCATTGGCAATATTCGGTCCTCTGTGTGAATTTCAGTTAGTGAATGAGTTTTTTTCTTTCTCAAAATAGAGCATCGGTTCTCAAAGTGTAGTCCATCGGAATCCTGGAGGTCTCCAAGATCCTTTCAATGGGTCCATAGGGTCAAAACTATTTTTATTGTAATATTAAGATGTTATTTTTTCACCGTGTTAACATTTGCAGTGGTTGTGCAGAAGCAATGGTGGGTAAAACTGCCTTTTGCCCAAATCAAGGCACTGGCACTCATTGTATTTCTTCAGAGTCAGGTACTTGAAGTCTTGATGAAGCAGTAATAAGTATTGATTTTATTGAAACTTCACTTTTTGAGTAAATTCCTTCTTAGAATTTTATGTAGTGAAGTGAGATGTGCACATAAACCACTTATGCTGCATACTAAAGCAAGATGGTTGTTGCAAACAAAAGCACTTGTTTGATGGCTTGGGTTGCAAACTACCTGCTTTCTTCAGCGAATACCCTTTTTACTTGAAAGAATGACTGGAAAACAAACTATGTTTGTTTTCGATATGGGGATTTCAGAGACTTCTCTTGAAAATGAATAAAGTTAGCCAGCACTTTAAGGAAAACAACTAATGGTATTTACTATCAGAGGTAAAAAAATGTGCTTTTGAGTTGTGATGGTTAATATAGGTGTCAATTTGACTGGATTGAGGGATGCCTAGATGAAGCATCATGATTGGGCATTTGAGAGTGTGTATGCAGAGGAGATTGGCATGTGAGTCAGTGCACTGAGAGGAAGACCTGTCATCAGTGCCGACTGGCACCTCCAAAGGGCTAGGAGCAGAAAAAGTAGGCAGAAAAAGTGGGATTCTCATGCTCTCTTTACTCTCTCTCTCCCTTCCAGAGGAGGACACTTTTTCTCCTTCTGCCTTTGGACATAAGACTTCAGGTTCTTTGGCTTTTGAACTCTGGGACTTACTCGAGCAGCCTCCTGGGGGCTCTAGGACCTGAGTAGGGGCTGCACTGTTTACTTTCCTGGTGCTGAGGCTCCTGGACTTGGACTAAACCATACTACTTACTAGCTTGAGCCATGCTACCAGCTTCTGTGCTTCTCCAGCTTGCAGATGGCCTATGAAGGGACTTTCCTTCTGTGATCCTGTGAGCAAATTCCCCCTAATAAATCCCCTTCCATGTATTCTACTGCTTATGTATCTCTGGAGAACCCTGACTGATACACAACTGAAAATGAGAATTTTGAAAAATCTGCACCCAAACCATGAACTTCCTAGTACTTAAAGTCTTTTCTGACAATATAAGTTAGATATTAATGAATACAATTTTTTGATGTCATATAGGGAAATGGCTCATCATTTGGAAGATCTCAATAAACTAAGTGAATCAATAACTTAGAGATAATCAATGCATGATGTAAGAAAATCAGGCTTTAGAAAAGGATCCAATGTTTTAATGTAAACAGACACCAAAAGCTTATTTGATAAGGTTTTAGAGCCCAAATTGCAACTAATCTTCAAGCAATGATCATCTATCCATTTTTGGTGTAACATCAAAGAAAAATATCCACAATTATCTGAAAGAGCAAGAAAATACCCCTCCCATTTCCAACTACATATCTGTGTGAGGCTGGATTTTCTTCGTGTATCTCAACCAAGACAACAAATTACAATAGAATGAATGCAGAACAGATATGAGAATCTGGTTGTCATCAATTAAGCCAGACATTAAAGAAATTTGCAGAACAATGCTCATTGCTCTCTATATTTTTGGTTTGGTCTTGGAAACCATAATTTTTAAAATATAGATATTTGTGTTAATATGTAATGGTTGTATTATTATTTTTAATGAATTAAATATTTTTAAATTTTCTATTAAATCTCTAGTATGGTAAACGTTGCTAGATATGACACAATTTAGAGGTTCTCAATAATTTTTGGGAGTATAAAGGAAACTGAGAGAAAAAGTTTTGGAACTTCTGCTGGTGGCTAATCTGCTTTTCAATTGGAGGCACTGGGGCATATTTTGAAACAGAAAACTAACAACAGATAGATACTTCCCCCCGGCATGCAAGTCAATTACTGTCATAAATGGTTCTTCAGATAAGATCCCAGGTCTTGAGCTCTTCCATCCACTTAGCAGTCACTGTATGGAATTCCCATGTGGTCAGAATTGAATTCTCAACTTCTGGCTCCTGTGGCAGTCTCTCAAACTTCTTTCATTTCCTCTGCAGAGTACAGCTAGGGCTCTTACGCCAAAGTGTGGAAGTTTACTTTGTAGTTCCTTTGCTTTGTACTTAATGCTGCTAATGTCCATGTTTAGGTTTCTTTTTCTGTTTTCTCTTTCTTCCTTTCTTTTCTTTCTTTCTCTTCTTTTCATTTTTCCTTCATGTCTTTATTTTTATTTTTCTCTTCTTTATAAAAAATGAGGCTCTCAGAGTGGTTGTAGAGTTATAATAGAAGAAATACCTTTATATTGTAAGCATAAGGTTAATATATTAATATTTCTTTCCTGAGAACATCACTCTACACCAGACAGTAAACCCTGTGATCCCAAGTAACTTAGTGAAGTCTCCAACTCTGACAATTATAAGACATATATTTTGAACATTGACTGGTACTATTCTTTGCAGAATGCATGAGGACCAAATCCACAAAATACACATGCTTGAAAATAAATCACTAACAATTTGGAAGCCCATGTCCAACAGAGTGAAAATGAGATTGCACAAGTATAATTTAAAAATTACTTTACAATCCAGTAGCAAATTCATGGTCATAATTAGTATCATGATCACTATTGTGATCATCATCATAGCTACCATGGATAAAAGGAAATTTTCAACTCACAGCCATTCATGCATGGAAGGCAGCAAAACTGAAAATCCTGTTGCATCCCAACTGGTTCTGACAAACTGAAGCTGAAAAAAAAAAAGCCATGAATTTTGAGTGACTTAAGATGCCATGCTGCTACTAATTCCATCCAAAAATTCTCCTGATTAATGAACATGGAAACTTGTTTTATCCAATCACATTCAGACTTACAAACTTGTCTCCTCCTTTTCAGGCCACTAGTATTCAATCTTTATTTAAGATAACACCATGAGCTCACACACACACACACACACATACACACACACACCCTCCTCTGTTTTCTAGCGCTTAATCAGCGTTTTGTCCCTCAGTGCAACTAGTCAATAAATGGCTTCATGGTGTGTTTTCCTTTCCCCGACAGGTTAATAAACTTGGATTGGGTCTCCTTTAATTTCAGTTTTCTTTGTTTTATTCTTTGATAGCTGCTCACTAAGGGCAGGACTTGTTCTTAGTATTTTACATATAGTTTGAAATTTTAATTCTCACAAAAGCCTCTGATGTAGTCAGGTCACATGGTGGTGAAAATCACGAATTCAAACCAGAGTGTTTGAGTTCTGATCTTGCTCCCCTACCTGCAACTGCATGATCTTCTGCAAATGTTTTCACATCTCTGTGCCTATATTTATGTGTAAAATGGCAACAATAATGGAACCAAATTCTTGGCTTCTTGAACACAGCAAGGAAGACAACACATAAAGACAATTAGAATGGGCTGGGTGTGGTGGCTCACGCCTGTAATCCCAGCACTTCGGGAGGCTGAGGCGGGTGGATCACAAGGTCAGGAGATTGAGACCATCCTGGCTAACATGGTGAAACCCCGTCTCTATTAAAAACACAAAAAAATTAGCCAGGCTTGGTGGCTGTAATCCCAGCCACTCGGGAGGCTGAGTCAGGAGAATCGCGTGAACCCGGGAGGCAGACGTTGCAGTGAGCCAAGATCGCACCACTGCACTCCAGCCTAGGTGACACAGTGAGACTCCGTCTTAAAGAAAATAAAAATGAAAAAATTATTACAGTGGTGCCTAGCACATAGTAAAGCATTCAGTACTAACTATTATGAACTCCATTTACAGATGAAAAATCTGAGACTTCCAGCAATTGAGGAATTTGTTTAAGGTCATAGCTAGTAAATGGTAGATCTTGGGTTTCTTCCAAGATTTATTTTATGGCAAAGCCTGTGCTAAAAAAAAATTTTGTTTATAACCACTTTCTACAATGTTTCCTTTTGCTTTGTTGTATTATTTTTTAAGTGGTGTAGTCTTGCCTTCTCTTGTTTATGTTATTTCAGTCCTTTTTAATAATCTAGATGACAATATAATTCCTGTATTAACACATCATTCTTCACCAAAGGGTTCAATTATTTAAGTGACAAATACCACCCTCCTTACACATTGTTTGTGCCTTGAAGAAATTTTTTTCTAATGAACATTCTTATTTTTCTGAAACTAAAATTTCACCTCTTTCAAAATATTCCTTTTGATGTATGTAGTTTCTACTAATAAGCATCTATTATTAATAAATAAGCAGTTATGTTGAAAACCAAAAAATGAACATCACTATAATTGCTGATGTTAAGGTAGATGAACTTTGTAATCAGTTAGGAAGATATGTTTCTTGTGATAAAACTTTACAAATTTTTAGGATTTTTTTTACATCTACACAAACCATGGTCATTATTTTTGAAAATTTATTATTATTATTATTTGAGACAGAGTCTTCCTCTGTCACCCAGGCTGGTATGCAGTGGTGCAATCATAGCTCACTGTACCCTCGATCATCTGGGCTCATGTTATCCTCTCACCTCAGCCTCCAATGTAACTGGCACTACAGGAGTACACAAACATGCCCTGCTAATTTTTTTATTTTTTGTAGAGATGGGGTTTCACTATGTTGCCCAGGCTGGTCTTGAACTCCTAGCCTTGAGAGATTCTCCCACCTCAGCCTCCCAAAGTGCTGGGATTACAGGCGTCAGCCACCATGCCTGACCTATCATTATTTAAACATAAGTTTAAAAATATCAATTTTGAAATCATGCTAAGAAGCAATTTCCATGAGGAGACTGACATTAGAGATTCCTTCTTAAAGATCTAATCTCCGAATGCACTGGCGAAGTGTTTAAAGGGAATATAAGTACGGATTTTTAAGGAATGGAAGCAACTATTATATCAACGACACATACACAATACATATACCACACATACACACATACCTCCTGTCTTAGTCAGATTAAGGAAAGAATTAATGTGTATATCTTCTATTAAGAGCTACATGTACACTTTTTACCCAATGAACAACTAATATATTTCAATTATTGATTAGTAAATTGTTTGGTTTCTGACTGTTATGTCAGTATCACAGATTTTTATTTTTATACTTTGCGTTTTACTTTCATAAGAAATTTTTCTTCATGACTGCTTATAAAAGGAATTATGAGCTATATGGCAATTACAATGGAGAAAACATTTTCATTGAAAAAAGTTGTTTACTTAACTGGACAACAGTAATTTTGGGTTTTAGTAAAGTTAATGAGATATTAGGTATTTTACACAATTAAAATTGTTTCTGTCCAATGATATTTCATAAATCGTGTGATTTATAGCTCTAGATCACAGGCAAACACACTGGGAAACTGAGGCTTTATTTAAACAAAAGATACAGGTGGGATCAAGCTTGATGGCTAAAATAATAGAATGTCTTGAAATTTAAACATATACCAATGTTCCTCGTTTCTCTTTTTATAAATCTGAACATTGTCAAGCCATGGATTTGTTTTGCTCTTTTGTTGAAAGCTAGGACATAGAGAATATAGTCCCAAGTTGTGCTAGAGGCAAAGAAAGAGAGGAAACACAGGGTGGAGAAAAGAGCTGTGCCATGAGGTCAGGAAACCCGGGTTCCACTCAGTTCCACCCTGATCCTGACTTGCTATGTGACTTTAGGCGAGTTATTTTACATTACTTGATCTCCATTTTTTTGCCTATAAAATGCGAGTGGATCAATGTCATTGAATACTTTTGAAAATCTATTGTATTCCCAAAATTCTGTACAGTTGAACTGCCATTTTTTTTTTCTTTTTTACACACTCCTGTTTGAATGGCATGTTCATTGAATATGTATAATGCTATAGTTTAAATGTTTGTCCCCTTCAAAACTCATGTTGAAACTTAGCTGCCATTCTAATAGTATAAAGTATAACCTTTAAGAGGTGTTTAGGTCATGAGAGCTCTGCCCTCATGAATGGACTAACGCTGTTATTATAAGAATGGGTTCTTTATCACAATAGTGAGCTCATCCTCTCTTGCTTTCTCTTGCTCTCTCTTTACCCCTCTATCATGTGATGGCTTCTGCCCTATTATGATATGGCAAAAAGGTCTTTGCCAGATGCTGTCACCTTCATGTTGGACTTCTCAGACTCCATAGCTGTGAGCTAATAAAATTTTTTTCATTATAAATTACCCAATCACTGTTATAGCAGCACAAAAAGGTTGAAGACATACACACACACACACACACACACACAGATAAGTGTACACACATATATTTGCTTGTACTATGAGCTGAAAGGGCCTAGAAACAGTAACACCCTAAATCAATGAGCACATTGGTGCCCAGATCTCAGTTTCCAGTGCCATTCTCCAATAAAAGGAGCCAGAACTTCTTAGATAAATGACTAATTTTAGGACTGATGCAGGAAATATGCAATATCCATCTAGAGCATCTTCTATTACCAAAAAGAAAGAAAATGCTCAAAAACAATTATGGGAACTTTCCAAAGGGATACAGGACCAATATGAAAGGCCTCCTAATAGCCAATGCTAAAAAATTCTGAGCAATTAGTAGTATGCCATTGAATTATAACATGAAATATAAAATAATTATGGTTGGCTCCATATTGATATAAATAAATGTTTGAATAAATAAATAAATGGAGAAAGAGAGACAAATATTCCATAGAGAAGAATTTCAATCAATTTCTGTAGTTAACGACTGAACACATACACAATTGTATACATACATACATAAGTAAATAAGTAGGAAATAATGGAATATCTCCAGTGCAGAAAAATTCTAAATAGTTTACATAGATACTCCCTTTTCAGGAAGTATCCACCACCTCTCTACCATTTAAGCATGGGCTATTCATAGTGATTTTCTTCAGTATGGAGTAAGGTAAAGGGAAGAGTAACTTGATTATTTATTGTGGAGAAACTTGACAAATACTACCCTAGTCAGATGACTAAGATGAGAATCAACAGTGATAAGCATATTGATTGCATGTACCCTTCATGTAATACAATAAAAATGGCACTTTACCTCTGTGATCTTTCTCCCCCCAAAACCGTAAATCCAGTCTACTACTGAGAAAAATATCAGACAACTCCCAGTTGAGGGACATTGCACATAATAGCTGACCTGCACCCCTCAAAACAGTCAAGGTCATCAAAAATAAGGAAAGACTAATGAATTACCACAGTCTAGAGAAGCCTAAAAAGGCAGGACAACTCAATGCAATGTGGTATCCTGAATGGTATTCGAAGGAGAAAAATGACATGGTGCAGAAAAGGGAACTCTGAATAAAGTATGAGCTTTAATAATAATGTGTCAATATTGATTTATTAGTTGTGACAGATGCACCACACTAATGTAATATATTAGCAATAGAAGAAACCAAGTGTGGACTACGTGGGAAATCTTTTTACTCTCTTTGCAACCTTTGTAAATCAAAATATTTTCTAACATAAACGTATTTTAAACTATCCGGAAAAACAAAAGATCAAGAATAATGAAGGCAATCTTCAAAAAGAAAAACAAAAATGGAAGGATTTATGCTACCTGGCTTCGGCATTTATCATAAAGCTACTATACCTAAAACAGTATAATATTGGCAAAAGGACAAATAGATCAATTAGATAGAATGAGGAGTCAACAAAGAGGCCAAACTTATATAGTCAAGTGATTTTCAACAAGAGCACCAAAGCAGCCTAATGGGGAAAGGAAAATCTCTTCAACAAATATGCTGGAATACTGGATTGAAAACAAACAAACAAACAAACTCTGCCCCTACCTCACATCATACACAAAAAAGTCAATTCTAATTGAACAATATTCCTAAAGGTAATAACCTAAAAAATATAGCTAATGAACAAAAACTTAGAAAAATATATCTTTGCAGATTTGTGTCAGGCAAATATTTCTTAGAAAACCCATAGTTGAATCATAAAATAAAAACCCGACAAATAAGACTTCATCAGAATTTAAAACTTTGGCTCTTTGAAATATGCCACCAAATAAATAGACAAGTCATAGATTTTGAGAAATTATGGGCAACACATATATAGGACAAAGGACTTGTTAACATGTGTGGAGAACTCCTTCAACTCCATGATAAAAAAGACAAAAACCCAATTTAAAAAATGGGCAAAAGACTAGAACATACACTATACAAAAAATATAATAAATGGCCAATAAACACATAACAAGATGCTAAATATCATTAGTCATTAGGGGAACTGAAATTAACACCATAATGATAAACCATTATATAAACACCAAACTGGCTAAAATTTAAAAGACTGACAATTACAAATGTCAAGAGAATTTGAATTTAGTGGAATTTTTATACATATAAAATGGCACAACCAGTTTGTAAAACCATTTGTCAGTTACTTTAAAAGTTAGACATGCACCTACCCTATGACTCAACATTTTCCCACTTAGGTAATTTATCCAAGATAACAGAAAACATGTCTATACAATTTTTGTAAATGAATGATTATGGCAGCTTTATTTATCATAGCCCCAAACTGGAAACAACAAACATGTCTATAACCTTGTATATTCATACATGAAATACTGTTCACTCATAAAAAGGAGCAAACTACTGCTAAAACAGAATGGGTAAATCTCAAAAATTTTCTGCCAAGGGAAAGAAGTCAAGAACAAAAAAGTTCATACCATGCACTCCCATTTATATGAAACTCTACAAGATATGAAAAGTAATCTATTGCAATAAAAATTACATCATTTGCTGCTGCTTGGGAGGTGCTATCTGAATAGAGAGAGGAGTGATGGAAATGTTCTGTGTCTTAATACACATTTATCAAAACTGATTGAATGGTACACTTAGATACACATTTCTTGTATGTAAATTATACCTCAATTCTTAAAAGACCCCAGGGATATTTAGGGATGCTGTACACAATTAGTAATAATAAATAATAGATAAATTTATTGAGTAATTATAATGTTCAAACATTGTTCTAAGTGTTTTTCTCATATTAACTCACTTAATCCTCACACTCACTCTTTGGAGTTGAGACTATGAGTAAATTATGAAACTGAAAAATCAAACCTGGCTCCAGAGACCTCGCCTTTAATCAGTTTGTTGTATAGCCCTATGCAGAGAAATGTGCAAACATCAGAATCTTCATCTAAAATGGTACCTCCTCGTAGAACATTAAGGGCTCGTCCCCATTTGAGAGCGTCTAGCCTTCTGAGTAGCCTTCTTTTCTACTGTCATGGGCTTTACTTCTGCTTACCAAATTCAGGCACTTAATTCTGGAATATAATGGGACCACAGTTGTGATATAATTGGTGATTTATTATTCATCATTTTTAATTGCTTTGGATAAATGAATGTTTGTGACAGGAGCCAAATATTGAGTTCAAACAAACCGATCTACCACCTTATGTTCTCTGTTTACACAGAATTGAAATAATCTCAGAACTGAAATAACCTGGGGGTCCCAGGTGAAAAATTATAATGAAAAATTGAAATCATAAAAAGTTGCTAGTGGTAGTTCAACACAAATAGCATGGGGAATGAGGTATATTTTGAAAGATTAATTCATCAGGTAATTCTATAATGTGTTCCATGATACAGTTTTTTTCAGTTGAATATTTACAGTCACCAAGGAAGCTCGTGTTTCTCCTGCCCACTGGTGCAGGTCACCCATCGGGTTACTGAGGCAATCCAAAGGAAAAGCGTGACAAAAATCAGTGAAAGTTGGAAGGACTAATATCCTGGGAAGGGGTCCAGAGTTCGTTCATACGAAAAATACTCTGCATCTCCTAAAACCTAGGGGAAAATTCAGATCAGGCCACTCTTCAGCTCAGCATCGGTGTGTGGCCTTAAAGAGAGGCTGAGCTGGTATTTGAGAAGAATCAAATCATCCCCTTAGGAATCGCACTTCCTCTCCCCTGAAATACAGAAGTCACGTGGAAGAGTAAAAAGATAGAGTGAGACTCCGTCTCAAAAAAAAAGACAAAATGTCATCCTGTTACAGAATGAATCCTGGTTTTAGCAGCTAGCTTTTGGCTGCTCTGTGAGGCAACACGGTTTTCACCATACACAGTAACGCTTATGCACTTAAGCAGAATAAAAGAACAGCAGGTCTTCATGGTATAAAAAAGGCACGAAGACTGGAGCCTGGCTCTCAAAAGAAAGTTGAAAAGGAAATCCATTTTCCCTGGTTAAGTGCTAAATAGATGTCATCAAATAAAAATAAATGAGCATCTTCAAGGACCTCAATGTTCTGAGGAAATGGCAATATAAAAGAAAATGCCTGGATTTGTCAAAGAAAAAAAAAGGCAGTGAGGGAGGACATTCCCCAAGACAAACAATGGAGCAAGCAGAGATATACTGAAATAAGTAAAAAAAAAAAAAAAAAAAAAAAAATCAGGAGGTGTTGAAGACAGAGCAATTACTTTTGGCACCAAAGCAGGAGAGTGCGAATAAGGAGTGAGGGGTCGGCTAGAAAAGTAGCTCATAAGCAGTTCAGCTAATGTGAATATATAATTCTACTATGTAGAGCTAGTAATTAGCATTTTATTTCCTTTGTGTGACCTTTGTGGATTTGTTACCAAGCAGCATATAATTTATATTGATATTTATCTGACTTTATTCCAACAGATAAGAATAAGAAACATTACCATATCTTTTTAACAGATTTGGTTGCACAGGGAACAGGTATTTTTGAACAGTTACATGGACTTAAATCTTTTCCTAGGTTTTCGTTGTTGCGGTTTCAAGAATTTAATGCTATTTCCTATTCTTTTGTTATTTTCTTATTTTAAAAAATCCTCTTGGCCAGGTGTGGTGGCTCATGCCTCTAAACCTAGCACTTTGGTAGGCCGAGGCAGGAGGATTACTTGAGGCCAGGAATTCAAGACCAGCCTGGCCAACATGGTGAAACCTCATCTCTACTCAAAATACAAAAAAATTAGCGTGGCATGATAGCACATGCCTGTAGTCCCAGCTACTTGGGAGGTTGAGGCAGGAGGATCACTTAAGCCTGGGAGTTCAAGGCTGCATTGAGCCAAGATCACACCACTGCACTCCAGCCTGGGTAACAAAGTGAGATCCTGTCTCAAAAAAAAAAAAAAAAAAAAAATCCTTTTGTTAGACTGTTAGGCTATTATCTGACCCCTTTCAGTCTTTATTGAATTAAATGCTCTCTTAGTGCAAACTTAGAGGTTAATCACAGAAAACTATAGAAAGTAGGTTGCTATTAGTTTCTCTGTATTCCTTCCTCCTTTCTCCAAGTGCCAATTCTGATATTCCTCAAGGACATGTAAAATCTACTCTTTCATTTATTACTAACAGAGATGGGCCTTAAGGTCTAGAAATATCCCAGAACTTTTTTCTTTCATCAGTATCTCTCTGTCTTGCTTCCAGATGTTTTTAGAAAGTAGATGTGGATGTAAATGCTACTCTACCAAGAATAAAGCTGGAAATTAAAAGGAAATCATATTAATAATAAGAAAATGGAAAGTTAATTTATTTAGAAATAATACTAAATCAAATCTGATTATGATCCTGCTCTTTTTAATCCCCCAAGTGAGTAGTGAAGTATTTACTTAACCTTGCCCAAAGACAGGTCTGGCCTCTGCCCTCAGCTGTTGAGGTAATCTCTAAACTCTTGGAATATCATGCCTGATAACAGTGTTTTTGTTTATTAGGGGCTTGGGCCCAGCCAGATAGTTTAACAGTGTGATTTATGGTGAGGGATTTGGGGCCCATGGTACCAGCTTGACCTCTGGAGGGGCTGGAGACTTGGGTTAGCCACATGGAAAGCCAACCATGTCTATGTGATGAGCCCCAACAAAACTCTGGACACCAAGACTCAGGTCAGCTTCCTTCATTGGCAGTACTCCATGTGTATCATAACAAATATTACCCGAAAAGTTAGCACTGTCCATAACTCCACTGGGAAGTGTGTGTGTGGATGTTTCTTGAACTCTGCCCTATGCACCTCTTCCCTTGGCTGATTTTAAGCTGTATCTTTTCACTGTAATAAGCTGCAACCAAGATTAACTGTTTTCTGTGGGTTCTGTGAATCCTTCTAGAGAATTATTAAAACTGAAGGTGATCTTGGGAACCCTAACTTGAAGTTGGTATCAGAAGTGAGAGTGGTCTTGAATGTCCCAGAATACACAGTAAACCTATTCATATTTTATCTTTAACATGTTGGAGCCTAAGAACCACTGTTATTACTACTGGCTCTTATAAATATGTGAAATGTATTCTAATTTGAACAGTTAGAGAAAGAGCAGGTAAAAATCTGTGTTAGCCACAAAAAATAATTAAATTACCTTGGTATGGATATCCATCATGCTTTGCTGCAGATGGCAATGTTGTCATGATCCTCTGTTGATATTTCTCAGAGATGGTCTAAGTGTAGAATCTCTGCTTGCTTGTGATAAATCTGAATAATTTTTCTAAAGCATGAGTCAAAGATGGGACGTAGACTCTTTTGGTCTCTTGGCATGAGTATTATTTGATGAAAATTTCAGACAGATGTAAAAAGATGAGTTTGCATGGTACTGGGGATCAGAACATTAACTGACACATACTACTGATAAGACATTTAGCTTAACCCATCTGCCTTCTAAGAAATGTGACTATTTTCCATAAAATATCCCTTTTTTCCTAAAAACCAGCTAGGATATTTGTGTAGTTCTTAGGCAGGGGGTGGAAGTTATACTCTTTGCAATAACTTGATCTGATGGAAAAGCTGAAAAACCCAAATTTCTGTGTCTATTTTTAAGATCCCAAGTTTCCAGGGAAAATATTGTGGGTGTCTTTCAATTTATTCAATAAAAAAGTAGACTTACAATGAAATAAATATAGCTCTTGTTGCTGCTGCACCCTTCTATAAGGCCTGCAGGCACTGGTTTTAGGAATCCTCTCTTGTATGGCTTATTGCCCACCCTCTTCCTACTCCCTTCAGTAATATGTTCTGTATGTTATCAGTAGGCTTTTGCCCACTCACCTGGCAGCACTTCTAATGTATCACTGAATAAGAAAGTTTAGTGCAAAGATGAATTCATTTATCCCTTCAGAATAGCACCTATTCTGCCTAGAACCTGGGTCTAAAATGTCAAATGTCAATTCCAATCATACAGGGATTTTCTCTCTCAGTCTCCCTCTTTTAGGAACCTAAAATTGTGAGTGATTAACATAGTTTCTGGAATATAATAGACAACAAAAATTGTTATTGAATGAGTGAACAGAGACAAAGAGTCTGGATTAGAATCACAATAAGAAGGAAAAAGTGGCCAAGTGCGGTGGCTCATGTCTGTAATCCCAGCACTTTGGGAGGCCAAGGCGGGTGTGTCATTTGTGCTTAGGAGTTTGAGACTGCCTGGCCAACATGGCAAAACCCTGTCTGTACAAAAAATACAAAAAATTCGCATGGTGGGGCGTACCTGTAGTCCCACCTACTTGGGAGGCTGAGGTGGGAGGATTGCTTGAACCCAGGAGGCAGAGGTTGCAGTTAGCTCAGATTGCACCACTGCACTCTGGCGTGGGTAAAACCCTGTCTCAAAAAAAAAAAAAGAAGGAAAAAGTACTCAAATTAGGTTATTGGAGGGGTCTATTTACAGATGAACTGTTCACGCACATGAATTGGAAGGGGTCATAGATGTAACCCAAGGGATACTGCGGTAACCTCATGCACAGAGGAGCTATTTTCTGTCCTAGGTACAAAGGGAAAAGGTGAGGGAATGGTTACCGCAAGCTGGAAGAAATATTTGTTGAGAATATTGCTTTGGGAGAGACAATGAAGAATCCAGATAGCTGAGGTCCCTTTCAGGGAATCAGCAGAGAAATAAATGCAAATGCCTTGGCATCACATCCCTCTCTTGCTCTAATTTACTCTTAAGATTCCCACTTGGAATCTAACCAAATTCATGAGAACCCGTGGTGAACACCAGAATGGCCAGTCTCTGGGGAAGGGTGCAGAGTAACCTAGAGGAGAAAAGGAGAGATATCCAGGAAGGAGTTTCCAGTGTGGACAGGGAGATGGGGCATACATAGGCACTTCCATATACAGCTTAATTAGAGCTATTCTGGGGGCAAGGACAGGGTGCTCCTGGATTCAGCAGACAAGATACCTGCATCATCAGGGTCCAGTCAGAGAACAGACACTACACATTATTTTGAATAGAGAAAGGTTAATGTAAAGAATTCTTAACTAATAACAGGCAGGTAGCTAGCTATAAGGTGTTAAGAGAACTCTAAAGAATACAGAAATCACAGACACGGTGGCAAATAGACAGCAGTTTCTACCCCTAGGCTGAAGCAGAGCACCCAAGTCAGGAACGAATGTGGAAGAAAGCCCTCCATCCAAGGCTGAGATTCACACTTCATTGGAGAAGTAAGGCTATAGGGCCACCGATGGCAGAGGAGTTCACTGAAGCACGTGTGGCTGGCTGAGGCTGGAAAACAGGAAAGCACCCATGGAGGTGCTGACAAAACATGCCAGGAATGCACCCATTGGGTGCTGATGTAAAAGCTCCAGAATGAGCTTGGCTAAGTATCTTGCTTATGGTCTAAGTGCAACAGGAGCAAGAAGAAAGGCAAGCACAGGGAAGCATAAAAAGAAGCCCCTTCCTCCTGCAATCTCCCTCCAGTGTCCTCCATTGACAAAGACGAACATCATGCCAGGTGGCAAAAAATATTTACAGGGCCCAGATATAAAAATCACAGGGTGATGAAGAGCACACTTCAAGTTGAGAAGCATCAAATTGATAACTGACACACTATCTAACACAAGAGTAAATGGGTTTATGGAATTAAATGAGGAATTCCTAAATTTTGGATGAGTTGGAGTTTTCTAGGTGGATAATTTGAAGAGGGACATTTATGCCGCATGTAAAAACAAGTTGTAGAGTTGCGAGAACGTTACATTGAAGGGATTATAAATAATTCTGAAAGATTGTAGTTATCTATGACCATTAGAAGCCCCAAGTATGAGCCCCACCATGTGCAATTATAAATGACATTTTACTTTTACCTAGCTAGCAATTTCTTAGAAAAGGAAAAGAAATAAAAGACATTAAGAGAAGAAAAATCTTATTTTTCAAAACAACACAATACCTACCTGAAAGTGGAAATTAAAATAGCTTTTTCTAGACTTATCCAATTATAAAGTTATGGATAGATTCATTTCGTTGAGGTCTCTCATTTTGTGAGGTGGGCTGGGGAAGGATGGGGCAGGATGGGGCTTGCATTCCTGGTGTTTCAAATGTGTGCTTAGTGGGCTTAATAGGTGATCCAGAACTGTCTGCGAGGGAGAAGATGAGACTGCAGAGATTGATAGGGGCTAGGAAGTTTCTGTTGTTTTCTGGAGACACTATATCATGCCCTAAAAGCATTGCAAAATCTATACCCCCGAGGACAGGTATATATATATATATCTGTTGAAATTAACTTTCAACAGATAAGTAGTTCTTATAAATTCTAACAAAATATATTAAAAGATAAAAGCTTCACCATTATTTTTAACAGGTTTTCATGAGCTCTAATATTTCAGAGTGCTGACTCTTAAATTAACAGCATGGCAAAGAGGAGGTGGAGCAAGATGGCCAAATAGAAGCTTCCACTAATCATCCTCCCCATAGGAACATCAAATGTCACAACTATCTACACAAAAATGCACCTTCCTAGGAAGCAAAAATCCAGGTGAGGTGATCACAGTACCTGGTTTTAACTTCATATTACTGAAAGAGGCACTGAAGAGTATAGGAAAGACAGTCTTGAATCACTGACACCACCCCTCCCCCATCCCCTGACAGTGGCTGCATGGTGCGGAGAGAGAATCTGCATGCTTCGTGGAGGGAGAGCACAGTAACTATAGGACTTTGCATTGGAGCTCATTGCTACCCTGTCACAGGGGAAAGTAAAACTGGACTCAATTCAGCCAATGCCCACTGAGGGTGCATTTAAACCAGCCTTAGCCAGATGGAATCACCCATTCCAGCATTCAGAACTTGAGGGTCTACAAGCCTCACCACTCTAAGCTGAAGTACTCTGGGTTCCTAAATAAACTTGAAAGACAGTCTAGTCTAGGCCACAAGGACTTCAAGTCTTAGGCAAATCCTAGTGCTGTGCTGGGCTTGCAGCCAGTGGGCTTAGAGGACACATGACCTAGTGAAACACCAGCGGGACAGTCAAGGGAGTGCTTGTGCCACTCCCCCCTCCAACCTCAGGCAGCACAGCTCACAGCAATGAAAGTGACTCACTGCATCTGCTTGAGAAGAGGAGAAGGAAGAGTAAAGAGGACTTAGTCTTGCATCTTAGATACCAACTCAGCTACAGGATGATAGGGACCTGTCAGAGTCATGAGGCCCCCAGTTCAGGCACTACCTCCCAGACATTTCTAGACAAACACTGGGCCAGAAAGGAAACCAGTGCCTTGAATGGAAGGACCCAGTCCTAGCAGAATTCATCATCTGCTGACAAAAGAGCCTGGGGGCTCTAAATAATTCGCAGTGATGCCCAGGTAGTATACTGCAGGCTTTGCATAAGACTCTAAGACATGCTGGCTTCAGGTGCGACCCAACACATTTCCAGCTGTGGTGGCTATGGTGAGAGACTTATTCTGTTGAGAAAACAGGGAAAGTAAAAGGGACTTTGTCTCACACCTTAGGTGTCAGGTTGGCCACAGTAGGGTACAGCACCAAGCAGGATCTTGGGTCCCTGATTACAGGCTTTGGGCCTCGGATGTTATTTCTGGACATGCCTTGGGCCAGAGGGGAGCCCAATGTCTTGAAAGGTTAGTCCCAGATCTGGCAGCATTCACCACCAGCTGACTAATGAGCCCTTGGGCCTTAAGTGAACATCAGCAGTAGCTGGGCAGTACTCCCAGTGGCTCTTTGTTAGTGGTGGCCTGTGGCAAGAGGCTCCTTTGCCTGTGGAAAGGGAAAAGACCTTTGTCTTGTGGTTTGAGTGCCAGCTTAGCAGAAGTAGAATAGAGAACCAGGTAGATTTCTAAGATTTTTACTCCAGTCCCTGGCTTCTAGATGGCATCTCTGGACTTACCTGGGGCCCTGAGGAACTTGCTGGTCTGAAGTGAAGTACACAAACCTGGCTGGAATCACCATCTGTTGATTGTAGAGCCCTGGGGCCTTGATCAAACATAAGTGGTAGCCAGGCAGTGGTTACTGTGGGCCTTGGGTGAGACTCAGTGCTATGCTGGTTTTGGGTCTGACCAAGAACAGTCCCAGTTGTGGTGACCACAGGGGAGCTTGTGTCACCTCTCCTCCAGCTCTAGGTGGCTCAGTACAAAGAGAGAGAGAGAGAGACTCCATTTGTTTGGGAGAAAGTAAGGGAAGAGAACAAGAGTCTCTGCCTGGTAATCCAGAGAATTCTTCTGGCTCTTATCCAAGTCCACCAAGGCCACACCTCTAGGAGTCTGCAAGAAGCACGGCAACACTAGACTTGAGATACCTCCTAATGCAGATATAGCTGAGATCACAGCACCCAAATCCATTTGAATATCTGAAAAGCCTTCCCAAGAAGGATGAGTACAAAGAAGCCCAGATTGCAAAGACTATAATAAATACATAACTCTTTAATGCCCAGACACTGACACATATCCACAAACATCAACATGACCAAAGAAAACACAGCCTTACCAAATGAATTCAATAAGGCACCAGAGACAAATCCTGGAGAAACAGAGACATGTAACCTCTCAGACAATTCGAAATAGCTGTTTTGAGGAAACTCAAAGAAATTCAAGATAACACAGAAAAGGAATTCAGAATCCTATCAGATAATTTTAACAAAGAGATTGAAATAATAAAAAAGAATAAAGCAGAAATTATGGAGTGGAAAAATGCAATTGACATACTGAAGAATGCATCAGAGTCTCTTAATGGCAGAATTGATCAAGCAGAAGAAAGAATTGGTGAGCTCGATGGCAGTCTATTTGAAAATACAGTTAGAGGAGACAAACGAAAAAGGAATAAAAAGGAATGATGCACACCTACAAGATGTAAAAAATAGCCTCAAGGGAGGCAAGGGAGGCAAATCCAAGAGTTATTGACCTTAAAGAAGAGGTAGAGAAAGAGATAAGGGTAGACAGTTTATTCAAAGAGATAATAACAGAGAACTTCCCAAACCCAGTACAAGAAGGCTATAAAACACCAAGCAGATTTAACCCAAAGACTACCTCTAGGCATTCAATAATCAAACTCCCAAAGATCAAGGATAAAGAAAGGATTCCAAAAGCAGGAAGAGAAAATAAACAAATAACATAAATAACATACAATGGAGCTTCAACACATCTGGCAGAAAATTTTTCAGTGAAAACCTTGCAGGCCAGAAGAGAGTGGCATTGAATATTTAAAGTGCTGAAGATAAAACACTTTTACTCTAGAATACCATATCCAGTGAAAATATCCTTCAAACATAAAGGAGAAATAATGACTTTCCCAGACAAAGAAAAGCTGAGGGATTTCCTCAACACCAATCCTGACTTACAAAAAATATTAAAGGGAGTTTGTCAATCTGAAAGAAAAGGACATTAGTAAGCAACAAGAAATCACCTGAAGATTCAAAACTCACTGATAATAGTAAGTACACAGAAAAACACAGAATATTATAACACTGTAATTGTTGTGTATAAGCTACTCTTAAGTAGAAAGACTAAATGATGAACCAATAAAAATAATAACTACGACAACTTTTCAAGACATAATAAAATAGCATATAAATATAACCATGCACAGTGGCTCACACCTGTAATCCCAGCATTTTGAGAGGCTGAGACAGGAGAATTGCTTGAGTTCAGGAGTTGGAGACCAGCATGGGCAACATAGTGAAACCTCATCAAAAAAAAGTAAAAAATTAAAAACAAAATTTCAAATATATGAAAAGAAACAACAATAAGTTAAAAAGCAGAGGATGAAGTTAAAGTGAAGCATTTTGTTTTCTTTTTGCTTGTCTGTTTATGAAATCAGTGTTAACTTGTCATCAGTTTAAAATAATGAGTTATAAAAGAGTATTTGCAAGCCTCATGGTAACCTCAAATCAAAAAACAACAGATAAAAAATAATAAAAAGGAAGAAATTAAAACATACCACCACAGAAAATTACCTTCACTAAAAGGAAGACAGGAAGGAAGGAAAGGAGGAAGAAAAGATTACACACACACACACACACACACACACACACACACACACAAAACAGAAAACAAATAGCATAATGAATGACAAGAGTAGGTCCTTACTTATCAATAATAACATTGGATGTAAATGGACTAAACTCTTCAATAAAATACATAAAGTGGCTGAATGGATTAAAAAAAAGACCCAACAATATGTTGCCTACAAGAAAAACACTTCACCTGTAAAGATACACATAGACTGAAAATAATGAGATGGAAAAAGGTATTTCATGCCAATTAAACCAAAAAAGAGTAGGAGTAGCTATACCTATATAAGACAAAATAGATTTCAAGACAAAAACTACATGAAGAGGCAAAGAAAGTCACTATATAATGATAAAGGGGTCAACTCAGCAAGAGGATATAACAATTGTAAACACATATGCACCCAACTGGAGCATCCAGATATATAAAGCAGATATTGGTTGAGCTAAAGAGAGAGAGAGACCCCAGTAAAATAATAGCTAGAGAGAGACTTCAACTCCCAACCATCAGCACTGGACATGTCTCCCAGACAGAAAATCAAAAAAGAAATACTGGACTTAATCTGCACTATAGAACAAATGGGCCTAATATATATTTACAAAACATTTCATCAAACAGCTACAGATTACATTTTCTTTTCCGCAGCACATGGATCATTCTCAAAAATAGACCACATATTATATCATAAAAAAGTGTTAAAACATTCAAAAACTGAAATAATATCAAGCATATTATCTGATGACAGTGTAATAAAACTAGAAATCAATAACGAGAAGAATTTTGGAAACTACACAAATGCATGGAAATTAAATAATATGCTCCTGAATGACTAGTAGGTCAATGAAGAAATTAAGAAGGGAATTGAAAAATGTATTAAAACAAATGATAATGGAAACACAACATACCAAAACCTATGGGATACAGCAAAAACAGTACCAAGAGGGAACTTTATAGCTATAAGTGCCTACATCAAAAAAAGAAGAAAAACTTCAAGTAAACAACCTAACAAAGCATCCTAAAGAACTAGGAAAGCAAGAGCATACCAAACCAATAATCGGTAGAAGGAAAGAAATAATAAAGATCAGAACAGAAATGAATAAAATTGAAACAAAATGATACAAAGATCAACGAAACAGAAAAGCTTTTTTTTGAAATGTAAACAACATTGACAAATCTTTAGTCAGACTAGTTAAGAAAAAAAAAACAAAAAAATCAGAGATGAGAAAGGAGACATTAAAACCAATGTCACACAAATCAAAGGATCATTTGAGGCTACTATGAGCAACTATATGCCAATAAAATGGAAAATCTAGAAGAAATGGATCACTTGCTAGATACATATGACCTACCAGATTGAACCAGGAAGAAATCCAAAACCTGAACAGACCAGTAACAAATAATGAGAACAAAGCCATAATAAAATGTCTCCCAGCAAACAAACAAACAAAAAAAAGCCTAGGTCCCAATGACTTTACTGCTGAGTTTTACCAGACATTTAATGAAGAACTAATACCAATCCTACTCAAACTCTTCTGAAAAATAGAGGAATAAAGAATATTTCTGCAACTCATTCTATGAGGCCATTAATTTTCTGATATTGAAACCAGACAAGGATACAGCAAAAAAAAAAAAAAAAAGAAAGAAAGAAAACTACAGGCCAATATATCTGATGAATAATCATGCAAAAATCTTCAACAAAATACTATCACACTGAATTCAACAACACATTGAAAAGATCATTCATTATGATGAAGTGAAATTTATCCCTGAGATGCAAGAATAGGCAAATCAATAACTGTGCTACATTTCTGACATGGTTTAGTTGTGTCCTCACCCAAATCTCAACTTGAATTGCATCTCCCAGAATCCCCATGGGGTGTGAGAGGGACCCAAAGGGAGGTGATTGAATCACGGGGGCTGGTCTTTCCATGCTATTCTTGTGATAGTGAATAAGTCTCATGAGATCTGATAGGCTTATCACTTTGGCTTTTTCCTCATTTTTCTCTTGCCACCATCATGGAAGTAGTGCCTTTCACCTCCTGCCATGATTCTGAGGCCTCCCCAGCCACGTGGAACTGTAAGTCCAATTAAACTTCTTTTACTTCCCAGTCTTGGGTATGTCTTTATCAGCAGTGTGAAAATGGACTAATACAGTAAATTGGTACCAGTAGAATAGGGCATTGCTGAAAAGACACCTGAAAGTGTGGAAGTGACTTTGGAACTGGGTAACAGGCAGAGGCTGTAACAGTTTGGAGGGCTCAGAAGGAGACAGGAAAATGTGGGAAAGTTTGGAACTTCCTAGAGACTTGTTGAATGGCTTTGACCAAAACGCTGATAGTGATATGAACAATAAGGTCCAGGCTGAGGTGGTCTCAGATGGAGATGAGAAACTTGTTGGGAACTAGAGCAAAGGTGACACTAGTTATGTTTTAGCAAAAAGACTGGTTACATTTTGCCCCTGCCCTAAAGATTTGTGGAACTTTGAACTTAAGAGAGATGATTTTGGGTATCTGGAAGAAAAAAAATTCTAAGCAGCAAAGCATTCACAAGGTGACTTGGGTGCTGTTAAAGGTATTCGGTTTTATAAGGGAAGCAAATCATAAAGTTTGGAAAATTTGCAGCCTGAATATGTGATCGAAAAGAAAAACCCATTTTTCTGAGAAGAAATTCAAGCTGGCTGTGGAAATTTGCATAAGTAGCAAGGAGCCTAGTGTTAATCCCCAACACCATGAGAAAAATGTCTCCAGGCCATGTCAGAGACCTTCACAGCAGGCCCTCCCATCACAGGCCCATAGGCCCAGGAGGAAAATGTTGTTTCATGGGCTGGGTCCGGCCTCTCCATGCTGTGTGCAGCCTAGGGATTTGATGTCCTGTGGCCCAGCCACTCCAGTGTTGTGTTGAGCCTGCAGCTGCACGGAAGTCAATAACTGAGGCTTGGGAACCTCCACCTAGATTTCAGAAAATGTATGGAAATGCCTAGATACCCAGGCAAAAGTTTGCTACAGGGGCAGTGCCCTCATGGAGAACCTCTACTAGGACAGTGCAGAAGGGAAATGTGGGGTCAGATCCCCCACACAGAATTCCTATTGAAGCACTGCCTAGTGGAGCTGTGAGAAGAGGGCTACCATCTTCCAGACCCCAGAATGGTAGATTCACCGACAGCTTGCACCGTGCACGTGGAAAAGCCGCAGACACTCAATGCCAGCCCGTGAAAGCAGCCAGGAGGGAGGCTGTACCCTGCAGAGCCACGGAGGCAGAGCTGCCCAAGACCATGTGAACCCACCCCTTACATCAGCATGACCTGGATGTGAGATCTGGAGTCAAAGGAGATCATTTTGGAGCTTTAAAATTTGATTGACCCACTGGATTTTGGACTTGCTTGGGCCCTGTAAACCTTTTGTTTTGGCCAATTTCTCCCATTTTGAATGGCTGTATTTACCCAATACCTGTACCCCCATTGTATCTAGGAAGTAACTATCTTGCTTTGGATTTTACAGGCTCATAGGTGGAAGGGACTTGCCTTTTCTCAGACAAAACTTTGGACTGTGGACTTTTTGGTTAATGTTGAAATGAGTTAAGACTTTGGGGGACTGCTGGGAATGCATGATTGGTTTTGAAATGTGAGGACATGAGATTTGGAGGGGCCAGGGGTGAAATGCTATGGTTTGGCTGTGTCCCCACCCAGATCTCAACTTAAATTATATCTCCCAGAATTCCAGGTGTTGGGGAGTGGACCCACGGCAAGATAATTGACTCATGGGGGCCAGTCTTTCCCAGGCTATTCTCGTGAATAATTCTCATGAGATCTGATGGGTTTATCGGGGTTTCTGCTTTTGCTTCGCTCTCATTTTCTCTTGCTGCCACCATGTAAGAAGTGCCTTTCACCTCCTTCCATGATTCTGAGGCATCCCCAGCCAGGTGGAACTGTAAGTCCAACCTCTTTTTCTTCCCAGTCTCAGGTACGTCTTTATCAGCAGCATGAAAAAGGACTAATACAATTTCAAATTAATTGATGTGGTACATCATATCAACAGAATGAAGGTCAAAAATCATATGCTTATTTCAATTGATGCTGAAAAAGCATTTGATAAAATTAAATACCTTTCATTACAAAAATCATCAAAAAACTGGATATAGGAGGAACACTTCAACATTATAAAAGTTATGTATGACAGACCTGTAGCTAGTATCATACCAAATGGGAAAAAACTGAAAGCCTTTCCTCTAAGACCTAGAAAAAGATAAGCATGTTCACTGTCACCACTGTTATTCAACATAGTATTGGAAGTCCTAGCTAGAGCAATCAGACAAGAGACAGAAATAATGGGCATCCAAATTGGAAAGGAAAAAGTCAAATTATCCTTGTTTGGAGATGATATAATCTTATATTTAGAAAAACCTGAAGACTCCACCAAAACTCTATTGGAACTAATAAATTCCTCAGTAAAGGTGCAGGATACAAAATCAGCATACAAAAATCATTAGCATTTCTTTATGCCAACAGTGAACAATCTGAAAAAAGAATCAAGAAAGTAATCCTGTTTACTATAGCCACAAATAAAACTAAGTATATAAGAATTAACTTGACCAAGGAAGCAAAAGCCCCTCTATAAAGAAAAGTATAAAACACTCATGAAAGAAATTAAAGAGGGCACCAAAATATAGAAAGATAGTTCATGTTTATGGACTGGAAGAACTAATGTTGTTAGAATGTCCATATTATCCAAAGCAAACTATAAATTCAATGTAATCCCTATCAAAATACCAGTAACTTTCTTCATAGAAATAGAAAAAACAGCTGGGCATGATGGCTCATGCCTGCAATCCCAGCACTTTGGGAAGCAGAGGCGGACAGATCACCTGAGGTCAGGAGTTGAAGACCAGCCTGGCCAACATGGTGAAACCCCGTCTCTACTAAAAATACAAACATTAGCCGGGTGTGGTGGTGCACGCCTGTAATCCTAGCTACTAGGAGGCAGAGTCATGAGAATTGCTTGAACCCAGGAGGTGGAGATTGCAGTGAGCCAGGATCATACCACTGCACTCCAGCCTGGGCAACAGAGCAAGCCTCCATCTCAAAAAAAATAAAGAAAGAAAAAAAAGGAAATAGAAAAAAAATTCCAGAAATTTATATAAAACCACAAAGGCCAAGAATAGCCAAAGCTTTCCTGAGCAAAAGGAACAACACTAGAGGAATCACATTTTCTGACTTCAAATTATACTGCAGAGCTATAGCAACCAAAACAGCATGGTGTTGGCATAAAAACAGACCCATAGACCAGCAAAACAGAATAGAGAAACCATAAACGAATTCATACATCTACAGTGAACTCATTTTTGATGAATATGCCAAGAACATACATTGGGGAAAGGACAGTCTTTTCAATAAATTATACTGGGAAAACTGGATATACATATGCAGAAGAATGTAACTAGACCCCTATCTCCTGCCACATACAAAAATCAAATCAAAATGGATTTAAAGACTTAAATCTAAGGCCTCAAACTATGAAACTACTAAAAGAAAACATTGGGGAAAATCTTCAGGATGTTGGTCTAGGCAAAAATTTCCTGAGTAATATCCCACAAGCACAGGCAACCAAAGCAAAAATGGACAAATATGATCACATCAAGTTAAAAAGCTTCTGCATAACAAATGAAACAACAATGTGAAGAGACATCCCACAGAATGGGAGAAAATATTGGCACACTACCAATCTGAAAAGGTATTTACATCAGAATATATAAGGAGCTCAAAAAATTTCTGAGGGAAAAAAAATCTAGTAATCCAATTAAAAAATGGACAAAAGATCAGAATACACATTTCTCAAAAGACATACAAATGACAGACAGGCATATGAAAAGGTGCTCAACATCACTAATCATCAGAGAAATTCAAATCAAACCTACAATGTCAACTCACCCCAGTTAAGATGGCTTTTGTCCAAGCACACGTTTACCTATGTAACAAACCTGCACATCCTGCACATGTACCCCGGAACTTAGTTAATTAATTAATAAATGGCTTTTACCCATATAATAACAAATACTGGCAGGGATGTGGAGAAAGGGAAGCCTCGTTACACTGTTGGTGGGACTGTAAATTAACACAACTGCTATGTACAACAGTTTGGAGGTTCCTCAAAAAACTAAAAATAGAGCTACCATATAATCCATCAATGCCACTGCTAGGTATATACCCAAAATAAAGGAAATCAGTGTATCGAAGAGATATCTGCACTTCCACGTTTATTGAAGCATTATTTAGAATGGCCAAGATTTGGAAGCAATTTTAGTGTCCCTCAACAGATGAATGGATAAAAAAAAAAAAGTGGTACATATACACAATGGAGTACTACTCAGCCATAAAAAAGAATGAGATTCGGTCATTTGCAACAACATGGTTGGAACTGAAGGTCATTATATTAAGTGAAATAAGCCAGGCACAGCAGGGCAAACTTTGTATGCTTTCACTTATTTGTGGGAGCTAAATATCAAAACAATTGAACTTATGGAGATAGCGAATAGAAAGATGATTACCAGGTACTGGGAAGGGTAGTGGGAGGTTGGGAAAGAAGTAGAGATGATTAATAGGTCCAAAAAAATTAGAAAGAATGAATAAGACCTAGTATTTGATAGCACCACAGGGTGACTATAGTCAATAATAATTAAATTGTACATGTAAAAATAACTAAAAGAGTATATTGGATTATTTATAACAAAGGGATAAATACTTCTGGTGATGGATACTCTATTTACCCTGATGTGATTATTACACATTGGATGCTTGTATTAATATATCTCATTTACCTCATAAATATATATACCAATTATGTGCCCACAAAAATAAAAATAAAAACAGTATGGCATATCGTAACAATAGTTTAGAGCTGCTTGTAAAATTTTCTCACTTTTAAATTTCTTTTTAAATTATTGATTTGTACTCTAGTTTTCTAACACTGCAGTTCCATCAGATAACAAACTCTGGAATAATAATTATCATATGGCAAAATATTTAGATTATAATAATTGTTCAAGTAAAAGAACAGATGACACCAAAATGAATCTATAAAGTGCATATGAAGTAATGTGATTGGCACAATACCATCTTTTTCCCCCTAAATTTATTGAAGTATAATAGACAAACAAAAATTGTATATATTTAAGCTGTATAATGTGATGGTTTGATGTATGTATACACTATGATGTGATTACCACAATCAAGCAAATGAACATAGAAGGCTATTGACTCTGGCAGCTTTTATGGACCTCTACTGAAAGGTGCCTCTCTCCTAGGAAATACCTTCATCATGAATCTCTGAAGGAAACCCAGCACAATCCTTAACCTACCAATGATCTTTGTGGAAAGCCAGCATATTCTAAAATCAAGTTTCCTCACTGCTTCATATGACTGTCATCTTTGGTCTTACAGAACACTGCCAATTTGTTTCCCTTCTCTTTCCCCAACCCTTGGTCTTGAATTTAAGAATGTTTTTAATAAATGCCTGTGGCTTTCTGGCAGGAAGAGAATAACTTATTGTCTCCAAGCAACTGTAAAGAATTGAAGAGCGGTCACATTTTTTTTCTTTTTTCTTTTTCTTTTTTTTTTTTTTGAGACCGAGTTTTGCTCTTGTTGCCCAGGCTGGAGAGTGGGTGGCACAATCTTGGCTCACTGCTACCTCTGCCTCCCAGGTTCAGGTGATTCTCCTGCTTCAGCCCCCTAAGTAGCTGGGATTACAGGCGCCCACCACCACACCCAGCTAATTTTTTTTATTTTTAGTAGAGACGGGGTTTCATCATGTTGGCCAGGCTGATCTCGAATTCCTGACCTCAGGTGATCCTTCCGCTTCAGGCCTCCCAAAGTGCAGGGATTACAGGCGTGAGCCACCGGGCCCAGCTGAGTCGTCACATTTTTATGCTTCGGCCTTACTGGTGAAGACAGCTTCTCTACCACTTTTAAAATTGAAAGCAGTGTTTAAAATCATAATTTGCCTTTCTGCCATTTTCCTTATGTCCCTATAATTAATAATGATATTAAAGGTAATCATTGCTAACCATATAAACTATAACACTATGTGCACAGTACCATAAAAGCATTTTCCTTACCTTTGCTCATTTAATCCTCACAAGAATTCTATGTGCTAGGTATTATTATTTAACTAAAAGACAGAGAGCTAAGCAACTTAAGGCCTATAACTAACAAGTCAAGGAGTCAGGCCTTCAACCTTTGCAGTTTGCCTCCAGCATCTGTGTTTTGTTGGGCCGGGATGGATTAAAAGTGGGTCTGAAGGATTTGGAGTAAGAAAATCTGTGTCAAAATCCTAGGGATTAGAAAGTCAGTTAATCCCTTCGGTATTTTTTTATCCTGATTTATAAAATGAGTGCGTTGGATGAATTTTAAGGCTCCTTCCCACTCTTCCCAATTTCAGACATGCAGGGTGGGTCTTTTGGCCGTTATTGTTGAGGTTTTCATTGTCTTAACCCTCTCCACCTCCACCTGAACTCACAATGTCTGCTCTATTATCAATTCTTTCCTTCCAAGGCTAAAAAGTCTTAGGGGCTATATGTAAAAATGCAGCCTGACTTTTAAGTCACTATATTGTGTCATTTTCTTACTGTGTGCCCTAGAATTTCAATGAAAAATTATTTTTGTTTCTGTGATGAAGCTTCTAGAATCATTTAAAAGATTTTCTACTCTTAAACTAGGACAAACATACTTAATGCTGACTGTGTGGTCAGACAATACTCTGCTTGCAACTCACTATTTCAATGGAAACTGATAAATGCACTCATAAGATAAGCTTCAAATAAAGCTTTACTCTACACTCCACAAATAGCTAAACTTTGTGCCAAGAGTTGGGAGTTTTGTTTCACTGTAAGCCACAGCTGTACATGCAATATGTAAACTTTCAGACTTTGCATTTCAGGCAATTGGTCTGGGGCCAGTTGGTCAGGCATAACACTGAACTGTTTTCCTCTTTGTCATCTTTTTGTTTTGATCATGCAGGGCCTTTTGTTTTGCTCATAACACAAACAATAAATGAAGCAGCAAATTTCTTCAGATACAGAGATCCTGGGACATTATGGGTTATGGGTTCCTCACTGTATTTTGATATTTTGTGCAATTTAATGGCACTTAGCAATAATCCTTGCTTACTGGGAGGAATACAGCATTGCACCCCTGTGGTGTTTAACAGTGTCTCCTGGAAGGTTATACAGAAGATTGCCTGTTGGCCTGTTTTATGTTTACCTAAGTTATTGTCTCCTTAATACATTTGATAGTAATTATACAAAAGTAGATTTTTGGAAAGGGATAATCCTTTAATTTTACATTTAATTTCTCAGTAGAAACAAGTTTCCCCTCTTTAAATGTTTCTATGTTGGTGATATTGTCTTAAGTGACTTGGTTTCTAGACCTTTCTGACCTGTTCTGAGGGATCGTTCCTTACATGCTGCCTATGCTCAGAGATTTTTTCAGAATAGCTTGGAACCATTATATGTTGTATGCCCAGCACTTAACCAGGCTGCGATTTTTAGGATTTAGGAGTTAAAGCTTCAATGGTTTCAAAAATCTTTGGGATATTAGTAGTGTGTGCAGAGCAAAGAGAAGGAGGTTTCCAAATGTACCTGAGAGCAGCAAGCATTTATTGTTCTCATGGGGGAACAGCCTTGGCCCATAGCTCTGTTTTTAATTCCTGTCTTGGCCATCTGATTTGTTTCCTTCTTGAGATGACAGGATCAGAAGGAAGTGAAGGGGCTTCATTACACATCTAGGGAGAACATCTCTGGACTTATGTGAAGATAGGGGAGGCAGTAGAATCCCTGTTAGTAACAGAGTAAATAATGTATTTAAATAGCCTCTATGTCTCTGAACGCAGCCTTCATGTTAATTGCTTTTGAATTATAGAAAAAAAATAAAAAATCTATTGAACAGGCAAAATTTAGGGCAGAAATGTGAACTAATTTCATAAGACAGGTCACATTTCTCCTCCCAAAATCTACCCACCCTTGCTCAGCAGCTCAGAGTGCAGGCAGCTATTCTCCCAGGCTTGCAGGGCTAGGGGTGTCCCTGGAGCAGTGTTAGGCAAACCAGACCACACTGTACAGTTTTTCTCTTTCTTTTGGGCCAATACTTGGCAAGTCAGTCAGGCTGTGGGATCCTGAATCTAGGTAGCTCTCCACATGAAGATTTTGGTATTGGGCAAGGCTAAAAGGTCAGAATAGAACTTGTTTCCCTTCACAAGCAACCTATTATTCAGATTCAGATACAGTTCCAGATATCTCTTGCATGTTTGTATACATGAATGAACTGAGCATACATTAGTACTCAGAAAGAAAGGAATAAGGTTTTGAATTTGAATAGTAAGTGTTTTAAAATGGGACTTTATATGCTGCTTTCTGTCCCTCCGAAGTCATTCCCTATTTAATTCTGATGACTTTGAAAGGTTATGCAGGAAAGATGAATTCTACTTGCACATAACCCAGTAGAATAGCAGAATGTTGTGAAACAGCAGATCAAATGAACATCTTTATAGAAATGTCAAAAAACCTTTATACTACATTGGCTTGCCTCCACAGGGCATTCAATTAATTATGAGCTGATAATAAACAATACTTTTTATAATACCTTGACATTTATCTGGGTGCATTGTTTTATAAACAATATTATTCACTAACAGCCCTCCAGTTCTGCCTTTATTACAAGGTGATCTTATAATTCTAAATGGGAAATTTCTACATTAAGAATTTGGCAGATTTGTAATTAAGTTTTATAAAGATTTTGAGGTTGTCATTGATAATAAAAAGTTACATATGCAGCATTCTATCTCACATTCTTTGGTCAACGCTTCTATATTCCTTTTGGTACACATTTTTAGTAAATTTTGTGTTAAATATTGTTAGTTCCTTCTCATGCTTCTACAAAGAAGTACCAGAGACTGGATAATTAATAAAGGAAATTCGTTTAATTGACTCACAGCACTGCATGGCTGAGGAGACCTCAGGAAACTTACAATCATGGCAGAAGGGGAAGCAAAAACATCCTTCTTCACAAGGTGGCAGGAGAGAGAAGTGCTGAGCAAAGGGGGAAAAACCCTTTATAAAACCTTCAGATCTCAGAGAACTTACTCACTATCATGAGAATAGCATTATAGTAACTGCTCCCATGATTCAATCACCTTTCACTGGATCTCTCCTATGACACATGTGGATTATGGGAACTAAAAGTCAGGGTGAGATTTGACTAAGGACACAAACAATATCATCCCACAGCTGGTCCCTCCCAAATCTCATGTCCTCACATTTGAAAACCAGTCATGCCTTTCCAACAGTCCCCCAAAGTCTTAGCTCATTCCAGAATTAACCCAAGTCCAAAGTCTCATCTGAGACAAGGCAAGTCCCTTCTACCTATGAGCCTGTAAAATCAAAAGCAAGTTAGTTACTTCCTAGATATAGTGGGGATACAGGCATTGGGTAAATATAATCATTCCAAATGGGAGAAACTGGCCGAAACAAAGTGGCTATAGGCCACATGCAAGCCCAAAATCCAATAGGGCAGTCATTAAAACTTGAAGTTCCAAAATGATCTCCTTTGATGCCAGGTCTCACATCCATGGCATGCTGATGCAAGAGGTGGGTTCCAATGGCCTTGGCCAGCTCCAACCCTGTGATTTTGCAGGGTGCAGCCCCCTCCTGGCTGCTTTCACATGTTGGCATTGGGTGTCTGTGGCTTTTCCAGGCACACTGTGCAAGCTGTCAGTGGATCTACCATTCTGGGGTCTGGAGGATGGTGGCCCTCTTCTCACAGCTCCACTAGGCAGTGCTCCAGTGGTGACTCTGTGTGGGGGCTCCAACCCTGCATTTCCCTTCCACACTACCCTGGCAGAGGTTCAGCGTGAGGGCTCCACCCCTGCAGCAGACTTCTGCCTGGACATCCAGGCATTTGCATACATCCTCTGAAATACAGGTGGAGGTTTCCAAACATCAATTATCAACTTCTGTGCACCCACAGCCCCAAGACCACATGTAAGCCACCAAGGCTTGGAGTTTGCACCCTCTCAAGCAATGTCCTAAACTGTATGTTGCTCCCTTTCAGCTATATCTTGAGCTGAAACAGCTGGGACAAAGGGCACCATGTCCTGAGGCTACATAGAGCAGGGGGGCCCTGTGCCTGGCCCACAAAATCACTTTTCCCTCCTAGGCCTCCAGGATTGGAGGGGCTGCCATGAAGTTCTCTAACATGCCCTGGAGGCATTTCCCCCATTGTCTTCGTGATTAACATTTGATTCCTCATTACTTATGCAAATTTCTACAGCTGGCTTCAATTTCTCCCTAGAAAATGGGTTTTTCTTTTCTACTGCATCATCAGGCTGTAAATTTTCCAGCCTTTTATGTTCCACTTCCTCTTGAATGCTTTGCTGCTTAGAAATTTCTTCTGCCAGATATTCTAAATCATCTCTCTCAAGTTCAAAGTTCTACAGATCTCTAGAACAGGGGCAAACTGCTGCCAGTCTCTTTGCATAGCAAGAGTAGCCTTTACTCCAGTTCCAAACAAGGCCTTCATTCTTGCATAGCAAGAGTGACCTTTAGTCCACTTCCCAACAAGTTCTTTACTTCACACCACCTTAGCCTGGACTTCATTGCCCATATTACTATCAGCATTTTGGCCAAAATCATTCGACATGTCTCTAGGAAGTTCCAAACTTCCCCACATCTTTCTGTCTTCTGAGCCCTCCAAGTCTCTAGGAACTTCCAAATCATCCCACATTTTTCTATCTTCTTCTGAGCCCTCTAAACTGTTCCAACCTCTCCTGTTACCCAGTTCCAAAGTCACTTCCACATTTTCAGGTATCTTTACAGCAGTGCCCCACTCTATGTGGTACCAATTTATTGTACTATTTCCTTCTCATGCTACTATGAAGAAATACCTGACACTAGGTAATTTAAACAGGCAAGAGTTTTAATTGACTCATAGTTCCACTTGGCTGAGAAAGCCTCAGGAAACTTACAAGCATGGCAGAAGGGGAAGTAAACACATTCTTCTTCACAGGAGAGAGAAGTGCTGTGCAAACGGGGAAAAAGCCCTTATGAAACCATCACATCTTGTGAGAACTCACTATTACAAAGACAGCATGAGGGTAACCATCCCCATGATTCAATTACCTCCCACCAGGGCGCTCCTATAACACATGAGGATTATGGGAACTACAATTCAACGTGAGATTTGGGTGAGGACCCAGCCAAACCATATAAAATATTAAGTGGACAAAAAATAACTTCAGTAGACTATATATAAATATTAAAGACTATATTAAAGAATACAATTGAGTGGACACCTATTAGACTACATTAAAGAATACAATAGAGTGGACACCTTTGTATTATGTCCTTCCCCAATTCTATTCCCTTCTCAAACTCCATGTTTATGATTGTGTTATTTTCTTTCTTGTCTTTATTGTTTACACGTATTTGTGCCTCTAAACATTATACAGTTTTTTTATGCATGTTTTTGAGACACATACAGATGAAATCACACTTTGGAAACTTAGTTTTCCCACTCAGCTTTATACCCTTGAGATTCATGTATGTATTTATGTAGCTGAAATTTGTTAAATCCTACTTCCTTATGAATGTATTCAACCCATGTTTGACTATATCACTATTTATCCATAATTATTGCTGACTAAAAGGGTCAAACTCTGTAAAATATTGAAGAGCCAAATACAAGAACCATGACCCATGAGTGACACAGCCCCAGGAGATCCTGAGAACATGTGCCCAAGTTGGTCAGGCTGTAGCTTGAGCTTGATTTTATACATTTTAGGGAGACCTAAGATATCAATCAATACATTAAGATGTGCATTCGTTTGGCCAGAAAGGCAGGACACCTTGAAGCTGGGTGGGGGGTGGGGCCTCCAGGTCATAGGTGGATTCAAAGATGTTCTGATTGGCAATTGGTTGAAAGAGTTTCACTAAAGACCTGGAATCAGTTGAAGAGAGTGGCTGGGTTGAGATAAGGAGCTGTGGAAACCAAGGTTCTTATGCAGATGAAGCCTTCGGTAGCAGGACATAGAAAGAATAGATTGTAAATGTTTCTTATCAGGCTTAAAGGGTGTCAGACTCTTAGTTAATTCTCTCCTGAAACGGAAAAAAAAAACCTGGAAAGGGAAGAGAATACCCTACAGAATGTAGATCTTCCCCACAAGAGAAAGCTTTGCAGGGCCATTTCAAAATATGTCAAAGAAATACATTTTGCGTGAAAAGATGCTTGATTTTTTTAGGGCCTGCTGTCTGTCATGCTGGTATCTTATTGCTACAGGGAGTCTGTTTTGTCAGTTTTAAGGTCTCTGTGTTAATGTTCATGTTAATGTTAATGACTAATATTAATATTAGTCAGCTGTGCCTGAATTTCAAAGAGAGAAAGGTATAATGAAGCATGTCCAACCACCCATTCCCATCATGGCCTGAGCTAGTATTTCAGGTTTACTTTAGAATGCCCTTGCCCAGGAAGAAGGGTCCATTCAGCTTATTGGGAGGCTTAGAATTTTACACTTGGCTTACAATTCTATAAGTAAATCTTCAGGTTTTCAAATTTTTGTTGTCACAAACACTGCTGTTATGAACAAGATCTACAAGTCTTTAAGGCTTAAGACTTTTTTTAAGAAATATTTCAAGGAGTGACATTTCAGGGAACAGGGAATGGATTTCTTTATTACTAAGTAAGCCAAATGTTTCCCAAAGCAGTTGCTCCAATATATATTGGATCAGCAGAGTGTGCGATCAAATGGTGTCAAATTTTAAAATATCACCAAGTTGGTGGGTGCAAAATGGAGTCTCACTGTGGTTCTAGTTAATTATTTTCCTGAATTCTAATGATGCTGAACATATTTTTCTTTATTATTGGTTATTTAATTTGCACTACATAAAGTGCCTATTTTTCTATTGAACTGTGAAAATTTAAAATTTTTATCGAATGAAATGCCCAGTTTGTATAGTATGATCAATTTTTACCATGCCTACTTCCCTGTAACTCACACATCTACCAATTTAGAAACTATTTCCTTACCTAAAAGTTTCCTTGCATTATTTCTCAACAGATTCCTTCACTCCAAAAGTAACCACTGATCTGATTTCTACCATCACAAAACAGTTTTATCTGCTCAAGAATCTCAAATAAGTGGAATCATATGATATGTAATTTTTTATGTTTTGCTTTCTTCACTTAGCATGATGTTTTTGAGATTCATGAATGTTGACGTGCTTCTTTGAAAATCTTTTTTTATCACTAAGTAGTTCTCTTTGTTCAAATGTATAAACACATAGATTGTTTTTGGTTTTTAGCAATCATGAATAAAGCTGCAAGGAACATTTTTCTACAAGTTTTTGGTAAATAAGAACTCTTTCAATATCCTTCTCTGCTAATTCTAACATCTGCGTCAGTTCTAGGTGGATTTTAATTGAGTGATTCTTCTCTGCATTATGAGTTATGTGTTCTTGCCTCTTTGCCTGCCTGGTAGTCTTTTATTACATGACAGATATTGTTGGGCAATGAAAATTTTTGTATTTCCATAGATTTTCTTGAGCTTTGTTTTACTATACAGTTAAGTTACTTGAAACATTTCGCTGTTTTCAGGTCTTACTCTTGTGATTTTTAGGCATTTCTGAAACAGAGCCCAGTCTAAGGTTAATTATTCTTCACTTGTGAGGCAAAATATTCCTGAGAACTTTGCCCACTGCCTTGAGCATTATGTTTTTCCTGTCTGCTTGGTGGGAGCAGGCATTTTTTCCAGGCCAGCATCAGCACCGTCTCTGTTCCCTCTTTTGATGATTCTTTCCTGGGTAGCTTCCTCACTCATGTGCTGATTCCCATCAGAGTCCCTCTGCAGATCTCTGGAGTTGGCTGTCTGTGCAGCTCTCTCCTCTCTGGAACTCTCCCCTGTGAACTCTCACTGCCCAGGTCTTCCAGGACCAAGCTTCATCTCCTCATGTTAGGGAACCCACCTCAGTTCTGCCTCCCGGCACCGCAGCCTAGAAACTCTCTCAAGGCTGTTAGCTGGGGCAGTTGTAGGGCTTATCTTGTTTGTTTCCCATCCCTCAGAGATCACCTGTTGATTAATGTATTTTGCTGTTGTTTCAGGCAGAGAATATATCTGGTCCCTATTACTTTGACCAGATCCACGAATATTTTGAATCATATATTCATATTTTGAATCATAACCTCTCAGGTTTGCCACCCTGGGAGGTTATTTCCCTCCAGGGAAGGGGGTCATTGTTAACTTCAGGATGTAAGAGACATATGCCCTTCTTTAAAAGAAGAAATTGCTAATGGAGGTAGGTAGTGGAAAGAGCCAGAACGACACCGTGACAGCACCACTCTTCAGGGTGAGGGACATTTCCAGGGGTTCTCTCTTCTCCCTGAGTGTCAGAATCAGGAAGTCATCCTGCTCAGCATCTGCTGGCATGAGCTTTTGTTGTGGTCCCTGCTGAGGGTTGAGGGCCTGGAGAAAGTTCTGTTTTTTGTTGTTTTTTGACAGAGTCTCACTCTGTCACCAGGCTGGAGTGCAGTGGTGTGATCTCTGCTCACTGCAACCTCTGCCTCCTGGATTCAAGTGATTCTCCTGCCTCAGCCTCCTGAGCAGCTGGGACTACAGTTGCTTGCCACCACACCCAGCTAATTTTTGTATTTTTTTAGTAGAGACGGGGTTTCACCATGTTGACCAGGATGGTCTCGATCTCTTGACCTCGTGATCCGCCCGCCTCAGCCTCCCAAAGTTCTGGGATTACAGGTGTGAGCCACCGTGCCCGGCTGAGAAAGTTCATTCTTAGTAGGAGGAAATGGAGTTGGAAAAAGAGTGTTTCTCTTTAAAGTTGGGCGCATGATAGAGTGAAACATTTGTCTTGAGGTGTCAACCTCTTTGCACACCTTAATATTTTTGCCAGCATTTTTACCTAAGAAGTAGTTTGCACACACAGCACAATAGTATTGGTAGTGGTTTCACCTGGTGTAAGATGAATGATCTGAAATGAATGTGCTCGCTAATCTGGGGGATTTTCCTCCAGATCAAATTTGCTTGAGGGGAAATCCACATTATGTTGGACAGAGGTGTCCTCTCATAAAGAGCCTCCCAGGGATGAACTGCTGATGCAAGGCTGCCCTGTAAAGTGACTCTAGGAACATTTTCCCCAGTGCATTAGAAATTTCAGCATCTCTTTAAAGTCCTGCCTCAGGGACCCAAATCTTTGAATATCTCCCACATCTGCTCCAACAATTCAGTCCTCTTCACTTCATTATAGCAGTGTTAGAAATATAGTCCCATTTGCAGTTTGCAACTTGAATTAAACCAATAATACAAACATCCTAGAACAATGCATTTAAATTTTTGGTATTACAAGATGAAATATGCAGACCAGTTTCAGCAAGTTTGAGAGAATAGAAATGTATAGTGCTAATGCAGCCTCTGGAATCAATAAACCTGGTTTTATTTCAGTAATCCCTTATAATTTCCCCTTCTAAATCACAGCATGAAACTAGTTACTTCTCTATCTTGTAAAATATTCACATTTGTATTTCCTACCCTGAAAATAATATTCTAAGGATTCAGGTAGATTATGCCAAGCACATTTGAGATCCAGATTGATAACAAACATTGAGCATTTTCCTCATTTGGTTTTCCAGTCACAGGGTTTCTGAGAGATCCCTGAAATGGGAGCATGGTTCCAATGACTGAAAAGAAAGAGCAGCCTGCAGACTAACTGGCATGCAGCTTGGGCCAAGAACTGCCAAAATGACCTAGAAAGGATCTGCTGTGTCCTGACAGGCCTGGAAATTTCCTGCAGATTCTGGCAAGGTGGTACAGGCTGTGTCTGGAGCTCAATATGAAAACCAGTTAGATTGTGGCAGCTGCTGATTAAAGAACATTGCTCCCTAGAAAGGGTGTGGAAAAATGAGAAGGGTGGAAATCTGCTATAAACTGCTTCACAAAAGAGGGAAAAGAGTATCATTGAACTTTATGTCAGTGAAGGATCTTTCCCGTTTGCAGAAAACTTATCAAAATAACCTCTCTTGGGCTTATCACATCCTACTGTTGACCCTTCTTCTAGCAGCTTAAACTTTTCATGTCTGTTAAAGAGGATTATCTCTCTTTTCATATCATTTTATTCCTATACATGATGATGGTGAGGCATTTTATACTTTACACATATTTCATGCTTTATGTACATCATATCATTAAAATATCACAGTGATATGGTTTGGCTGTGTCCCTGCACAAATTTCAACTGGAATTGTATCTCCCAGAAGTCCCACGTGTTGTGGGAGGGACCCAGGGGTAGGTAATTGAATCACCGGGCCTGGTCTTTCCATGCTATTCTTGTGACAGTGAATAAGTCTCATGAGATCTGATGGGTTTATCAAGGGTTTCCACTTTTGCTTCTTCCTCATTCTCTCCTACTGCCACCATGTATGAAATGCCTTACACCTCCTGCCATGATTCTGATGCCTCCCCCAACCATGTGGAACTGTAAGTCCAATTAAACCTCTTTTTCTTCCCAGTCTAGGGTATGTCTCTATCAACAGCTTGAAAACAGACTAATACAGCAAATTGGTACCAGTAGAGTGGGACATTGCTGAAAAGATACCTGAAAATGTGGAAGCGACTTTGGAACTTGGTAACAGCCAGAAGTTGAAACAGTTTGGAGGGCTCAGAAGAAGAAAGGAAAATGTAGGAAAGTTTGGAATTTCCTGGAGACTTGTTGAATGGCTTTCACCAAAACACTGATGATATGAACAATAAGATCCAGGTTGAGCTGGTCTTAGATGGAGATGAGGAACTCATTGGGAACTGGAGTAAAGGTGACTCTGGTTATATTTTAGCGAAGAGACTGGTGACATTTTGCCCCTGCCCTAGAGATTTGCGGAACTTTGAACTTGAGAGATACTATTTAGGGTAACTGGAGGAAGAAATTTCTAAGCAGCAAAGCATTTAAATGTGACATAGGTGCTGTTAAAAGCATTCTGGCCAGGCGCTGTGGCTTACACCTGTAATCCCAGCACTTTGGGAGGCCAAGGCGGGAGGATCATCAGGTCAGGAGATCGAGACCAGCCTGACCAACATGGTGAAACCCCGGTTCTACTAAAAATACAAAAAAATTTAGCCAGGTGTGGTGGGGTGCACCTGTAGTCCCAGCTACTCAGGAGGCTGAGGCAAGAGAATCGCTTGAACCCATGAGGCAGAGGTTGCAGTGAGCCCAGATTGAGCCACTGTATTCCAGCCTGGGCGACAGAGCGACACTGCATCTCAAACAAAACAAACAAACGAACAAAGCATTCCATTTTAAAAGGGAAACAGAGCATAATAGTTCAGAAGATTTGCAGCCTGACGATTCAGTAGAAAAGAAAAACCCATTTTTTTGAAGTGAAATTCAAGCCAGCTGCAGAAATTTACATAAGTAGCAAGGAGCCTAATGTTAATCCCCAAGACCATGGGGAAAATGTCTCCATGCCATGTCAGAGACCTTCATGGCAGGCCCTCCCATCACAGACCCAGAGGCCTAGGAGGAAAATATGGTTTCCCGGGCTAGGCACAGGGTCCCTGTGGTGTGTGCAGCCTAGAGATTTGGTGCCCGGTGTTTCAGCTGCTCCAGCCGTGGCTGAAAGGGGCCAACATAAAGCTCAGGCTGTGGCTTCAGAGGGTGGAAGCCCCAAGCCTTGGCAGCTTCCATGTCGTGTTGAGCCTGCGGGTACACAGAAGTTAAGAACTGAGGTTTGGGAACCTCTGCCTAGATTTCAGAAAATGTATGGCAATGCCTGGATGCCCAGGCAAAAGTTTGCTGCAGGTATGGGGCCCTCATGAAGAACCTCTGCTAGGGCAGTGCAGAAGAGAAATATGGGGTTGGAGCCTCCACATAGAGTCCCTACTGGGGCACCATCTAGTGGAGCTGTGAGAAGAGGGTCACCATCCTCCAGACCCTAGAATGGTAGATCCACCAACAGCTTGTACCATGCACCTGGAAAAGTCACAGACACTCAACGCCAGCTCATGAAAGCAGCCAGAAGGGAGGCTGTACCCTGTGAAACCGCAGGAGTGGAGCTGCCCAAGGCCATGGGAACTCACCTCTTGCATCAGTGTGACCTGGGTGTGAGACCTGGAGTCAAAGGAGATCATTTTAGAGCTTTAAAATTTGACTGCCCAGCTGGATTTCAGACTTGCCTGGGTCCTGTTATCCCTTTGTTTTGGCCAATTACTTCCATTTGGAACATCTGTATTTACCAAATACCTGTACCCCCATTGTATCTAGGAAGTAGAGCTTGCTTTTGATTTTACAGGCTCATAGGCAGAAGAGACTTGCCTTTTCTCAGATGAAACTTTGGACTGTGGACTTTTGGGTTAATGCTGAAATGAGTTAAGACTTTGAGGAACTGTGGGGAAGGCATGATTGGTTTTGAAATGTGAGGACATGGGTTTGGAGGGGCCAGGGGCAGGATGATATGGTTTGCCTGTGTCCCTGCCCACATTTCCACTTGAATTGTATCTCCCAGAATTCCCACAACACGTGGGACCCAGGGGGAGGTAATTGAATCATGGGGGCTGGTCTTTCTCTTGCTAGTCCAGTGACTAATTCTCATGAGATCTGATGGGTTTATCTGGGTTTCTGCTTTTGCTTCTTCCTCATTCTTTCTTGCTGCCGCCATGTAAGAAGTGCCTTTTGCCCTCCACCATGATTATGAGACCTCCCCAGCCATGTGGAACTGTAAGTCAAATTAAACCTTCTTTTTTTCCAGTCTCAGGTATGTCTTTATCAGCAGTGTAAAAATGAACGAATACACATAGCAACACTAAGTAATCTATCTTGCAGGTAAGTGTACAGTAAAGAACTAAAAATTAAGTTATTAAAAGCATGTATTGAAAAGTAGATCTGAAAAAGTCTTTAAATTTTAAGCACATTTTGGAAAGCAGGTGAATAGCTACAAAAAATGTCTCCCATTTGTGATTGGCTCCATTACCATCCAACATTTGAATTTCTCTAAAAGAAAGAACAGAAAAAAGATAGACAGTCTCAGACATTTGGGGGAATTTCTTTGCTTTTTTCCAGGTTTTATTTTTCTCCTTTTTGTTAATGAGTGTGGGGGTGTATCTGTGAAAATTTTTCCCAAAACTTTTCATCCAATGTACTTTATTTTACTCGACTCCAAAGCCTATATCCTTAAAATGGCATACTAAAGTCTGAAATTTCTCTGCAAATATTGAAACGTCTTTTTTTTTACCTTTATACTCACAATTTCTCTTTGTTATAGATGGTACAGAGATTATTTTTATTCTCTGTTAGTGAAAAAAAAATAAATGCTATTTTAAAAATATTTTTCTTCTTCTGGGTTTCAACACTTGTTCCATATGCTTTCTTATTACTTTTTCTCTCAGTTGCAGAACTAGATGGAAAGAATATGCTTTTTGCAAAAACAGTTATTTGTCTCCATTCCCATGTTTCTGTTTATAACAAAAAGAATCTTAGCTTACTCACTCATAGGAAAATCAAGATAAATTTTTGCTGGGATATTATTGCTGATTTACAGTGTTGATTTGATTTTCAAATATTCAAACATCTTGGATTTGTCTTGCTTTAGATATTTCTCCTATTAGGCATCTCCTGGAAAACAGATACTAGTTTAAGGGCTCAAAACAATCTAACTCTACGCAGGCATTAGAGGTAAAGGCCCTCAGTTCTGGGGACATTGATCATTGACTGGGGCTACACGGCTTTTCATGGGTCCCATTTTGACTGTCTGCAACATTTTTTGTTATCAGAATTCCAAAGAGGTACCTGAAAGGTTATGAGCAAGGGCTTTGGATTTCTTCTAAAATCACTTCCAATCAAATCATTTGCTTCTAAACTGTCATTGCTTACTAATACTCCCTGTACATTTCACATTCCTCTATTCAGTAAATAAATTGCATTAAATTTGTGAGAATTTTCTTGAAATTTTGTCCTTACTCCTTACTCAATTACATGTAAATCCTTACTCTGCTAGGCACTGTGCCAAAGCAATAAACCATGTCCTCTCAGACTAAACCAGGTCACTTCATTGTACATCACTATGGCATCCATACCTTTCTGCTATAACATGCATCAAACTTTGCAGTTATGAGCAGGTTAACACCAGGGTTTAGCTTTCACAAAGCTTGATGGAGAATTAGTCTCACCAGGCTTCCAGTGGGTGGGTGGATCCTCAGGGCATACATCTAAAGGAGCCTTCTTACTCTTTGACAGATGAGGCTTGGGTCTCTGGCAGAAGTTGGAGCTGACTTGTATCTGGATGGGTCACTTTGGTTCTGGGAATAGACTACCAACTCTACACTTGGGGTTAGCGAACTACAGCCAAGTCCTGTTTTATTAGAATACAGCCATGCTCCATTTATGTATTGTCTATTGTTGCTTCAGCAAGTTGAGTAGTTGCAAAAGAATATATGGTCTGCAAAACCTAAAACATTTACTCTCTGGTTCTTTATGGAAAAGGTTTGCTGAGCCCCACTCTAAAATAGCAGGCAGCTTTCTTGGAAATAGTTCAGGCCCAGTCTATATGTGCGGAATAGGTTAGGCTAACCTCTGAAGCTGGATCTCCAAAAACTCAATTCCATCTCAGGTCTTGTAAATCTATTAGTCACTAAACTTGTTAACATGTATATGGTTATATGCTATGAACTTGACGTTGTGGTGCCAGGCTTGGATTGGTCTTCCATGAGTGGTCTATGGGCTCTGCCACTTGCTGCTAGAGACCCCTTCCACAGTCAGTCCTAAGAATGTTATTCCTTGCTCTGCAACGTTAAGCAGCTCTCTGTTGCTACCTGATGACATTCACATGCCTTAACCTGACCTTCTCCACATGTGGACCTACTGCACCTTCCCAGCCTTAGTTTCCACCTCTCACCAAATACCTGTTAAATGCTTCAGCCAAACCTGACTACTTAACACCTGTCAAACATACTTTCTCCACCTTGGTAACCAAATCATTTTGGGACCATTTAATCACATTCAGCTTCCTGTTGTTGTTTATTTGGGTTCTTGTCTCATGTACCCTACCGGGTTTTAAACTTTGTGCGAACAAGTTCCATATCTCCACTCATTTTTATATGCTCAGTAAAGCTGGCTGTTAGGAGGGACTTAGTGATGATTGAGGCCATTGATCGTTAGCACTGTTTCTTGAATTTGTTTGACCCTCAGGAATATTCACCTTTGGATGCTTTCAGTTAATTTAGAGTCTAGTGTATTAATATTTGTATCCCAGCATCGAATATCTGGCACATAGTAAGTGAATGAAAAATAATGAATAAAAGAAGGAATGATCCCAAGTATTCCTACGAGGTGAGAAGAAAGTGGTCCTATTTACTAGGAGTGTTAGGGAAGCATTTGGGATCGTCGGCTCTGCTGCTGCATGATAGGTTTGGGACTCCGAAGACTGGCATTTCCTCCTTCTAAACTTGGAATTTCAATACATTACTATGAGGAAGACAAAGGTACATGGGACAGGGCCCTTCATCTAAATAATATACCTCCTTGGGGTGTGATTAATTGAAAGGGACTATAAAAAGCTAAAAACAATGTTTGAGTGCTATCTGTCAGCCATAGTGATAAAGCACTCTATATACATGGTCTTATTTACTACTAACTACAAATGCATGAAGTTGATTTTTAGAAAAACTTTCTGCTATGGAGCACTTTAAACAAGACACTAGTGTGATAAGTTTTCACATACTCATCACCAGATTCAACATTTATTGATTCATGGCCAATCTTGTTTAATGTATGCTTCCACCCACTTCTCCTCCTCCCTTGTTATTTTGAAGCAAATCTCAGACATCATATAATTTCATCTTTAAATATTTTGATATGCATATGTAATAGAAAGAACTCTACTTTTTTCTTTTTAAGACAGGGTCTAACTCTGTCACCCAGGTTGGAGTGCAATGGCGTGATCATAGGTCACTGCAGCATCAATCTCCTGCCAGGGTCAAGCAGTTCTCCTTTCTCAGCCTCCCGACTAGCTAGGACTACACCACACCTGACTAACTTTTTATTTTTATTTTTGTAAAGATGGGGTCTTGCTGTTGTGCTCAGGCTGGTCTCAAACTCCTGGCCTCAAGCAATCCTCCCGCCGCAACTTGGCCTCCCAAAGTGCTGGAATTTCAGGCATGAGGCACCACACCCAGGGAAAAAAAAACTAAAAAAAAAAACATAATCATAATACCATCATTAAGCCAACCACTCAGCATAACTATTCTTTAATATCAAATATCCTGTTATTGGATCCTGTTATCTCTAAATATCCATTAATTTTATATATTTTTGCTTGCTTGAATCAGGATCCAAATAAAATCCCACTTTATGATTGCTTGTCTTTGAACTTTTTTTGATCTACAGGCTTCTCCTTTCATCTCTTCTTTTTCTCCCTTGCAATTTGTTTATTGAAGAAACCAGGTTGTTTTCCTATATTTTGGATTTCGCTAAATACATCCTCACTATGCCATGTCTCAGAGTTTGGATTTTCCTGACTGTATGCTCATGAAGTTCTTTAACTTTTCCCTCACTTTCTTCTGTTCTCTGTATTTACTATAAATTAATAGTTTGATCCAAAGATTTGATCAAATTCAGGTTGGATTTGAAGAGCAGGGCAAAAAAAACTGTGCTAGGCTCTTCCATCAGGAGAAATGTAATGTCTAACTGTCTTCTTTTGGTGATGTTAGCATCCATTGATCAATTATGAATTGAAAAATAATGGCATTATTATATCATTCCTTCTTTATTTATTGGCTGTCATACTGTAGATACTGCTTTTTATAAATTATTGTTTTACCCAGTTGTACAATTTATATAGAAAAGACCAGATAGTTGAATTTTTCTTTTCAATATTTTTTTCAAAATGATGTCTTGTCTCATTTATATCCTACGATTGCGATGACTTTTATTTTTAAAAAATAATTATTATGAATGCAGAAATTTAAGCATATTTGACGTATTTCTATCCATTCCAATTATTATCCTTATCAATGTATAAAATATCCTATATTTGGTCAGAATGAGTCCCTTTAAATTTCCTCTTGAGACTTGTTGATATCATTCTAACAATCTTTGATAGAGTCCTTGCCATCTAGAGTGACAATGTGTTCTAGGCTTATCTTATGCATTTCTGGCTCAGACCTGAAATCAGCAATTTCTCCAAGAAGTTTTGGGGATTTTTTAGTGGTAGGTGGTATTTGGAGACCACAATCTTGGTGCTAGGGATAAATATTATAATTTTAAAACTTTTAAAAAATTAACGGCTTTATTAAGGTATAATTTATATACCATAAAATTCACCCATTTTAAGTGTGCAATTCAATTATTTTTAGTATATTTAGTGTGTTTATAGAAGTGTGCAACCATCACCAAAATCTACTTTTAGAACATTCTCCTCATCCCAGAAAGAAAACCTGTGCCCATTGAGTCACTTATCATTCTCAACTCAGCCCTAGGCAACCACTAATCTATTTTTCTCTGTATATGTATTAGGTGATTCTGTTTCAATATGTGTTCTTTTGTGTCTGACCTCTTTCAAGAAGCATTATGTTTTTGAGGTATATCAATGCTGTGGAGCATGTATCAGAACTTCCTTTTTATTGTAAACAGTATTTTATTGTATAGGTATACTACATGTCTTTCTCCATTCACCAGTTGGTAGGCGTTGGGTTTGTCTCCATCTGTTGGTTCTTGAGAATAGTGCTACTATGGACATTTACCTAAAAGATTTTGGTTGGACATATGTTTTCATTTCCCTTGGGTGTAGATACCTAGAAGTGAAATTGCTGGGTTTAAGGCAATTCTATATTTAACATTTTGAGAAATTATCATACTATTTTCCAAAAAATTGGCTACACCATTTTACATTCCCACCAGCAATGTATGAGAGTTTTGATTTTTTCACATCCTCTCCAACACTTGTTATCTTATTGTTGTCTTATTGTTTATAGTCAATCTAGTGGGTGTGAAGTGATATTGTGGTTTTGATTTGCATTTTGCTAGTAACAATAGTGTTGAGCATTTTTAAATGTGCTTATTGGTCATATCTTCTTTAGAGAAGTGTCTATTCAAAGTATTTTGCCCATTTTTAAATTGGATTATCTTTTAATATTGGATTGGAAGAGTCCTTCTGGATATGTCACTTATTAGATATCTGACTTATTTCTTCCCTTTTGTAGGTTGTCTTTCACTTTCCTGACCGTGTCTTTTGATGTGTAAAATTTGTAATTTGGCTTACGTTTAATTTGCTGGGTTGTTTTTCTTTTCTCACTTGTGTTTTGGATGCTGTGTCTAAGAAATCTTTGCCTAACCCAAGATCACAAAGATTTACTAGTATGTTTTCTTCTAAGAGGTTTATAGTTTTAGTCCTTACATTCAGGTCTGCGATCTGTTTTAGCTAATTTTTGTGTATGGTGTTAGGTAGGGACCCAAATTAATTTTTTGCAGATGGATATTCAATTGCCCCAGCACCATCTGTTGAAAATAGATTTTCTTTCCCATTTAATTTTCTTGACACCTTCATCAAAAATCAATTGACTGAAAATGAAAGGGGTTATTTCTGGGCTTTCAATTATATTCCATTGACCAATACATCTGTCCTTATGCTAGTACCATACTCTCTGTATTACCTTATCTTTGTAGTAAGTTTTGAAATTAGCATAAGTCTTTCAATCCTGTTCTTTTTCAGGATGGCTTTGGTTACTCTGTCTTTTGCATTTCCATATAAATTTTAGGATCAGCTCATCAATTTCTGCAGAAAAGCCAGCTGGGATTTAGACAGGCATTGGATTGAACCTGTAAGAATTTGGGGAGTATTGCCACGTTAATAATATTTAGTCTTCTAATCCATAAATGTGGGATGCCTTTCCATTTACTTGTCTTTAATTTCTTTCAGCAATGTTTTGAAGTTCTTAGTATACACACCTTGCTTTTGTTATATTTGTTCCTAATAGTTTATTCTTTTTGATGCTGTTGTGAATGAAATAATTTTCTTAATTTTATTTTCGAGTCTTCATTGCCGGTGTATATAAATACAATTGATTTTTGTATGTTTATTTTGTGAACTTTCTGAACTCATTTATTAATTCTAGGGGTTTTCTTAAGTGGATTCCTTCAGATTTTCTATGTATAAGATCATGTCATTTGTGAATAAGATAACTTTACTTCCTCCTTTCTAATCTGAATCCTTTTATAGATTCATTGCCTAATTGCCCTGACTAGAACCTTAGTAGGTGCTGAATAGACTGATAAACATTATCATCTTTATCTTGTTCTCAATCTAAGGGGGATAATATTCAGTCTTTCACCATGTGAAATATGTTAGCTGTAGGGTTTTCACAGATTTTTTTTATCATGTTGGTGAAGTTCCCTCCTGTTTCTTATTTGTTGAGGATTTTCTTTTCATGAGTGGATAGATATTGTTTTTATTCTTATTTACCTATAAGGAAACTAGTATTCAGGTGACCTGACTTCAAAGACCAAGTTCTTAATCATTGTGCTATCTCTATAGCACACTCTTCCATTTAATTTTCACTCTACCCCATCTCTGAATTCGTTTAGCTCACCTTGTTAATGTTGGTGTTCTCCAGGATTTTCAGCCCTTCCTCTGGTTATTCTCTCCTGAAGTGAGAGTATGGCTTCAATCATTCATTTGTAAGCTGATGACTACAAAATCTGTATCTCCTACCCTCACAGAGCTCTAGTACATCTTAAAGCTTCCAAGACTTTTCCACTTAGATATGTAAAGAACTTCCCAATCCATCATGTCCTAAAGTGCTCCATTACCCCCACTCTACTCAACTGGGCTCCACTTTCCAGCCTGAAACCTGGTGTGATCCTATAAGCTTCCCGGTCCTTGGTCCCTCTTCTCACTTTTTCTAATCAATTGCCAAGTTCTGCCTATTTTAACCACCAGAGCAGTCCGGTGGTTTTTGCAGTCCATTCTTTTCTCTTCACCTCCACTGCTACTATCTTGCTCCTGCTTCCAGTCTTGTTCCCCCTTAAATTCACCCCCCACATTACCAACAGAATGATTTCTCTGAATTACAGCTACTCTGACACTTAAATTCTTCAGAGATTTCCTATTCCCACAGCACAGCAAGCAAGGCCTTTCTTCAGAAGTTCCATTTTGTACACTAGGATCTTCCACCAAATATTAAAGTCATTAAATGCACATTAAGATATCAATTTTAATAGCTGCATGATACTTCCATCATTTGGAGATATTATAAATTATGTCACCAGAACTATTTCTACTTTCCTTTGCCTGTCATGTTGACTCATGCCTCAGTGCTTTTTGTTTATTCTGTTGTTTTGAGAGGTTCTTTCTCCTTCAACACCATCTGCTCTATTCCTTTACACCCTGAAAAGCCTGACCGACTAGACCCTCCTTTTTGAAACCTTCCCCTAACTCTTTCAGAGCTAATTATGCCTTCCTCTGTATTCTTTTCAGAATATTGCAGAAGCCTATAATATTTCATGTATTATCCTGTATTATAATTGTTGGTCATTTTTTTACTCTCACTCTAAGTTTGAGTACAGCATTTAAACTAGATTTATATAGAGTACTCCCACAATATCCAGCATATAGAAAATACTCAAAAAATTTTTGTTGAACTCTCCTAAATTTGGCTTTGTCTATAAACTTCCTTGCTTTTAATAGATCATTTTCTAATTTGTCAAAATTTAAATGCATTTTTAAGAGAACATACTTAAGAAATAATATTTTGAAAATTACAAAGTAACATATGTTTATTTTAGATTGCATGGAATACATAAGCTTGAGGTGAGTATTCCTGTGCAAGTGATTTTCCAAAGGAGCATGCTCAGAAGAAACTGGACTACAGTGAAGGGAGCAGGATAGGAAAGGGGAGAAACTAAGCAAAGATTTGGTCTGATCCCATGGGGAGCTCTGGAGGGAAATTGCACTACAGAACCTCTCCTGCCTTGAGACAAGCAATGGGGGCTCTTGTACCTAACCACCCTCACACATCTGTCCATTGTTGGCTTCCATGATTGGCATGAGGCACAAAGTGGAGAGGGAGAAATGCAACTTTCAGGCCCCACCAGGCAAGGAGGCCCCAAATAGCTCAGGGAAATGCTCCTGAGAAGGGTGCAGCCAAAGGGAAGGAATATATTAAACATTCTTAAAGAAAAGAATTTTCAACCCAGAATTTAATATCCAGCCAAACTAAGCTTCATAAGTGAAGGAGAAATAAAATCCTTTACAGACAAGCAAATGCTGAGAGATTTTGTCACCACCAGACCTGCCTTACAAGAGCTCCTGAAGGAAGCACTAACATGAAAAGGAACAATCAGTACCAGCCACTGCAAAAACATGACAAATTGTAAAGACCATCGATGCTGGGAAGAAACTGCATCAACTAACAAGCAAAATAACCAGCTAATATCATAATGACAAGATCAAATTTACACATAACAATATTAACCTTAAATGTAAATGGGCTAAATGCCCCAATTAAAAGACACGGACTGGCAACTTGGGTAGAGTCAAGACCCATCAGTGTGCTGTATTCAGGAGATGCATCTCATGTTCAGAGACATACATAGGCTCCAAATAAAGGGATGGAGGAAGATCTACCAAGCAAATAGAAAACAAAAAAAATCAGGGGTTGCAATCCTAGTCTCTGATAAAGCAGACTTTAAACCAACAAAGATCAAAAGAGACAAAGAAGGCCATTACATAATGGTGAAGGAATCAATTAAACAAGAAGAACTAACTGTCCTAAATATATATGCACCCAGTACAGGAGCACCCAGATTCATAAAGCAAGTCCTTAGAGACTACAAAGAGACTTAGACTCCCGCACAATAATAATGGGAGACTTTAACACCCCACTGTCAACATTAGACAGATCACTGAGACAGAAAGTTAACAAGGATATCAAGGACTTGAACCCAGCTCTGCACCAAACAGACCTAATAGACATCTATAGAACTCTCCACCCCAAATAAACAGAATATACATTCTTCTCAGCACCACATCGCACTTATTCCAAAATTGACCACATAGTTGGAAGTAAAGCACTCCTCAGCAAATGTAAAAGAACAGAAATCATAACAAACTATCTCTCAGACCACAGTGCAATCAAACTAGAACTCAGGATTAAGAAACTCACTCAAAACCGCTCAACTACATGGAAACTGAACAACCTGCTCCTGAATGACTACTGGGTACATAACGAAATGAAGGCAGAAATAAAGATGTTCTTTGAAACCAATGAGAACAAAGACACAACATACCAGAATCTCTGGGACACATTTAAAGCAGTGTGTAGAGGGAAATTTATAGCACTAAATGCCCACAAGAGAAACCAGGAAAGATCTAAAATCGACACCCTAACATCACAATTAAAAGAACTATAGAGGCAAGAGCAAACACAT